>NC_000020.11:9914819-10066335 GCF_000001405.40 Homo sapiens
ATAGAAATCAGAACAGAGGTTACTTATTGAATTGACTGAAATGAGGCATAAGAGAATGAGGCATAAGATGACCAAAATTTCTATTTGGGAAATGCTACATTTGTCAAAATTCATCCAATTTTATATTTAAAAGCTAGGCATTGCTCTGTTTATACATTTTACGTCAAGAAAAATGAAAAAATATGGGATTTTGAATCAAGTGAAATGTTCAAGTCATCTATTTATTGTCTTAAACAATGAGAAAGCCTGGTGGAGGCCTATGAATTGTCCTTTGCACTGCTATGAAGTGTGGATGTGTGTGTTGCGTGCATGCATGCGTGTGCTCATGCATATGGTAAGGATGCTAATAAACCCAAAGCTGAAAAGGATCTTGCAAAGGTAGAGGTGAAAAGCTATCTGGATTTTGTCTAGGGATTGAAGTTAGAGATATTGATCCAAGACAAAATGCACTTTCTTGAACCAGGAGAGTCTGAATATCTAAATCTTGGGTGCTCAAGTCCTTTCTCAAAGGAGTGAAAGGCAAGTTGTTTATTCTAGGTGAAAGCCAAGGTTATTTACTTAGGTCTAGAAATAAATGCACAGCAAAAACCATAGGTGAAAGAAAGAGTGAAAACAGATGAGTTCCCCAGGCTTTGGGAAGAGGTTCAAGTAGGTCAGAAGGTGATGGGCATCCTCCTGTTGGTGAGATCTCAGCATACCTGGGAAAGGGTGAAATGATGGATAAGGAGGTGGGGGACTTGGCACTGGAATTAAACCCATGATCTATCCTCTAAGTGGCTCCTTGAGTTTCTCAATGAAGCTTCACCAGAACCCAAATCAGAGGCAGCTACTATTTCACTGACAAATCAGATGATTCTCTAAGACTAGGTGGAGGACCATACATTGGGCAGGTTCATTTCTGGATAAATTTCCTCTGTTAAGGGAAAAGAAAGACATCAAAGGTGAATATGTCATCAGTAGAGACGACAGCAAATATGTTTCCAATTTTAGTGTACTGGTCAAAAGAACCATCTTGGCTGACTGCAGTGGTTCTTAAGCCTGGATGTGATGTAATCGTATGAAATGCTTCAAAAAATACCCATAACCTGAGCCCCACCCACAGAGATTCTGATTGAATAGGTCTACAACGGGCCTAGGTAACTCTAATATGTGACCAGGATTGGTTTACAGCAGTGGTTCACAAAGTGTGGTTCTTAGACCAGCAGCATAAGCATCACCAGAGAATTTCTTTCTTTTTTTTTCAGACAGAGTCTTGCTCTGTCACCAGGCTGGAGTGCAGTGGCGCGATCTCGGCTCACTGCAAACTCCGCCTCCTGGGTTCAAGTGATTCCCCTGCCTCAGCCTCGCAAGTAGCTGGGACTACAGGCGCGTGCCACCACGCACGGCTAATTTTTTGTATTTTAGCAGAGATGGGGTTTCACCATGTTGGCCAGGATGGTCTCAATCTCCTGACGTTGTGATCTGCCAGCCTCGGCCTCCCAAAGTGCTGGGATTACAGGTGTGAGCCACCGTGCCCAGTCAAGAATTTCTTTAGAAATTTCAGACCTCACCCTAGATCTACTGAATCAGAAACTTGGAAACGAGGCCCAACCATCCTTGTTTCATCTAGCCCTCTTGGTGATTCTAATGTATGATATAGTTTGTCCCCCAAGTTAGAAATTTTGTTGCAGGGGGGATTTTCATGATTATGTATTCCTGGATTGAGTTTTAGAGTCTCTAGTTTTTGGAGTATTTCTCTTTTTATGCATTGGTATTATTTTTTATCTCAAGCAATGATGGGCTTTCTTATGAATTGCGTGCGGATGTTGCTAATTTCTGCAATTCTTCCTCTGTTTCTTGAATTCTCTGCATCTATAATTTGTATCTCCTTTGCAGCTGATTGCTTTTGCTCTCTTTTCCCATATATTCTCTTCCTAAATCAGCTGCTTTTACAGAAGTATGTCTTTATGTCCCTTCAGGATTTCTACACTGTGCTGCAAGGTTTTGCATTCATTTTCCAGGAGAGCTTTGCTGAATGCAGTGAGCAAAACTCACTTTCTTTATTTGTTCTTCCAGTCCATGCTTGGTTGACACCTCATCCTTCAGCTTGGATGGGAAATGGCCTCAATCTTCTCTAGCTATTGTTAATGAAGATTCTCCCCAGGAGACATATCTCATCTGTCATCTCTGATTTATTTTATCTTCTCACTCTGGTGATTTGCCAGTTATTTCAGCTGCCCAATGCAATTATTCAAAATGTCCAATTCTTTTTCGTGTATGGTAAAAAAAAACAAGCTTCCTCTATGTCTTTCCGAGTTTTATAATAAACTGTAATTTGATTAGTTCTCTCAGCCAAGTGTTCCCTTCATCCAGTTTTCTGCTTCCTGTGGTACTGCTCCATGCCCTCTTTAGGTCTAGATTTTTCTCTTTAACCTTCAGAGGCCAGACTTCCTCTTCTCTTTGCCGAGCTTAGCTTCACCAAGGCTTTTATTCACTTTGAAAGTTTCAAAAAAATCCTTGAAAATATTTGTGATATTTTTATCAAGCTTTTGCCTTCCAACACCTTGTTCTAGTTGTTTGATTTTGTTTTATTTGTTTTCTTTTGTGTTCTACATTTTGCACTTCCTAGTTTTCCCAAAACAACAAGTACACTTCCTACCAGCATTTCACTGGCTATTTTATTCATTTTTGAAAAGATTCTAGTTGGAAACTTTATGCAGTTCCTTCTTCAGAGGGGTGTTTCTTTTGTATCTTGATCTTCACTCCTCAAAAAAGTCTTTGCTACTTTTTTTGTTCATATTTGACAATCTTTATTGATTTTAAGGTAGTCTTAAAGTTTGATAAAACTGTTGTGCTGTCGTTCGTTTTTTTTGTCTCTTTCTAGAAGAAACACCCTCTGGAAGAAAATGGCTGATGAACAATTTCTTGATAAGGCACTATGAGTTATTGACTCACAAGGCCCTTCATGAAAATCAGGGTTGCCCTGCTGTCTACAGGGAATGTAGCTTGTGGCATCCCATGATCTATTGCTTCAGGCCTGTTTGGAAGAATCACATTCTTCACGCCTGAAACACCTGGTTGCTCTTCTGTATTTACTTGTTTCTGTATTTGTTGTTTCTTTGTTGTCGTAGAATCACTAGCCTCTCCCAATAGGCCAAAACCATCTTTCGAGTACGTGTTATCTCAATTTCTGCATTTTCTAGAGGCCTCTTATTTTCTTCTGCTAATTATTCTCATTCATTTTATTTACTTGAGTCTTCAGTATCAGAAGTCTCTTGCATTCTCAATGATGTATTTTTCAATGACAGAAGAATGTTCTTCTAGAGCAGGAACTGGCAAACTATGATTCATGGGCCAAATCTGGCCCCACCACCTATTTTTGTAAATGAAGTGTATTTATAAATAATGTTTTGTAAATAAAGTTGCAAATGAAGGAAATGCAGCTATCTCCATTAGTTTGAGTATTGTCTTCTTTTTTCTTTCTTTCTTTTCTTTCTTTTTTGAGACAGTGTCTCCCTCTGTCACCTAGGCTGGAGTGCAGTGATGCAGTCGTTTGAGGCTACACTGTAGCCTGTAGAGACAGGGTCTCTTTATATTGCCCAGGCCAGTCTCAGACTCCTGAGCTCAAGCAATCTTCCCGTCTCAGCCTCCCAAAGTGCTGGGATTACAAGCATGAGCCACCATACCCCATCTATTTGCATATCGTCTATGACTGCTTTCACACTATAAAGTCAGGGTTGAGTGATTATGGCAGAGACCATAAGACCGCTGACCATATGAAAAATACTGCCTTGCTCTTCACAGAAACAGTTTGCAGACATCTGCTCTGCAGCTTTCTCAATACCAAGTGCAACTCTTTGCTCTAATGAAGTGGGTTGGCACCTGGCCCTGCTGGGTCATTCTCTGATTTTCTGTATGCCCCCTTGGGCTTGGACTCGTGGATATCACCTTCAGGTATTTAGTAGGCTTACTAATTTCCTTCCTAGTTTCAAGTATGGGCTTTTTCAAACGATGTCCATTGAGGAATTTCTCAGTCTGCCCTCATTCTCACCCATATCCTGAGCTATCTTTCTTGCTGCAAAGTATCAAAGCCTCAGTTTCTTTATAAAAACAAGCACATTCCTTATCTGTTGGCAGTTCTCACATGCTTAAAATAACCGTTTGCATTAGGTGGACACTGAAGAGAATGAGAATTCAACCCACATAATTTTTAATTTTCCACGTTTCACATCTCTCAAAGCACATCTTGTCTGAAGGACATATAAAGATATACTATGAAGGCACTGATGCAAAAAAAAGTGCAGAAGTTCCAAAAACATCAAAATATAATATATAATCAGCTTATATTTTAGTATATTACAAGATGATTCTAATTCTCTGCCCCTTTCTGAATCCACTGTCTTTCCAATGTGACTTTGCCACTCTTCTTACCAAGAGATTTTCCCACCCAGTGACTCTGAACTGGCCTTGGGATTAGCTTTGGTGAATAGAATGAGCTAAAACTGGTGTTGCAGTTTTGAGGCTGGGCCTCCAGAGACTTTACTTTCATTTTTATTCTTCTATCCTGGCCACCACTAGCAGAACAAGCCTGAGCTAGCTTGCAAAAGGATGAGAGGCCCTTAGAAAGAGAGTTGAATTTTTCAGGACAAAACCATCCTAGAGCAGAGGCTTCAAACCAACCCACCAGTGGACCTTTCCCCTAACCGAATGACAGTTCTGCAGTAATTCTTTCGAAACCGAAGTCTCCTGTCTCATTTCCCTATTTTTTTTTCACTTCAGTATTTGGTCTAAACCTTTAAACTTCATGCTATAGTGTAAATGATTAATAGACAAAGTATTTTTCTTATTAACAGAACTCTGCATTTTAACTGAGATGATAGATATTTTATCTTTAAACAGAATTAGTTTGTTAGGGTTGCCGTAATAAAGTACCACAGACTAGGAGGCTTAAACAACAGAAATTCATTTTCTCACAGCCCTGGAGGCTGAGATCAAAGTGTCATGAAGGTTGGGTTTTTCTGAGGCTGCTCTCTTTGGCTCATTGATGGCCGTTTCCTCCCTGTGTCTTTACAGAGCCTTCCCTCTGTACATGCCTATGTCCAAATTTTCTCCTCTTATAAGTGCACCAGTCACACTGGATTAGAGTCCACCCTAATGATCTTATTTTTACTTAATTACCACTTTAAAGATCCTATTTCCAAATATGGTTACATTCTGAGGTAATGAATGGGGATTAGGACTTCAACAAATGAATTTGGAGGGACAAAATTCAGACCGTAACAGTGACTTTTGGTAAATGCCATTCAGCAAAGAGTGGGGATGGAAGAAAGCTTCCAGAATGAGGTTGCTCTGCAACGCAAAAGGCCAGTGGATATGGAGAAAGGAGATAGGGCTAGAAACTTCAAACCAGTGAAGCAGCTAATTTTCATTGAACACTTACAGTTGCTAGGCAGTGCACTGAGCAAATTACCATCATTTGTTCCTCATAGCAACCATATTAGACAGTTCCTATTATATTTACCATCATAATTTTTTTCAGGTTATACAATGATATAAGCAGCAGAGCTGGCTGTTTTTTCTTTTCCTTTCTTTTTTTTTTTTTTTTTTTTTTTTTTGAGACAGAGTCTCACTCTTTGTCACCCAGGCTGGAGTGCAATGGTGCGATCTTGGCTCACTGCGACCTCCACCACCCGGGTTCAGCCTCCTGAATAGCTGGGATTACAGGCATCCACCACCACCCCTGGCTAATTTTTGTATTTTTAGTACTGATGGGGTTTCACCATGTTGGTCAAGCTGGTCTCAAACTCCCAAACTCAGGTGATCCCAAAGTGCTGGGATTACAGGCATGAGCCACCACACCCCGCCCAGAGCTGGATTTTTAACCCACTGTATCTGACTTCTAAACCCACTTTCTTTCCTCTAGCAAATGCAAATAGAAATTGGGTCCCACGCAAATCTAAGTGATTGGCGGTTGCTTCAGGATCATAGCCAGGAGCAAAATGTGAGGACTAGCAGAACTCAGTAAATAGTAAGTGAAGTCAGATGGGATACATCATCAGAGTATAATTCCCAAAAACTTCAAAAGCACTACTTCCTCATAAATATGTAGGAAAGGTGTGTCAATTTGTAGCAGAAACTCATTAATGGCAGAAAAAATGGGACAGTAAACCTGGTTCAAAGGAGGGTTAAATAGACTGAAGCACATATTATCAGTGAAAGAATGTGGAAATAAGATTGTTAATTAGATAGAAAACTAGTTAATGTACTACGGGGAAATACAATTGTGGTCCTGTTTTATTGCCCTGTAGTACAGGACAGAAATCATTCGCAATTTACCAGTCTTTGCAAAGTTAATCTTTAACTTTTTTTTATTACAGTCTGGGCCCTAATCAATAGGAAATAGTGAATCAAAAAAAGGTACATTATGCCAGAGCTGTTTTATCCAATACAGTAGCCAAGTTGCATGTAGCTTTTTAAACTTCAAATTAAATTAATTAAACTCATGTACACTACAGTTTCAGTTTTTTAGCGAAACTAGCCATGTTTCAGGTGTTCAACAGACACATACGGCTGGTGGTCACCATATGGAACAGCTCCCATAGAGAACATGCCCATCATCACAGAGAGTTCCCTTGGGCCACACTGCCCTAGAGCATCAGATGAACCACAGGCAGGTTTATCAAAGAATATTGTAGCACGACATGAAAATGCAAAGTTTTGGATAATTTTTCATAATAGCAAGAGCCATGAATTGTAGGAACTTGAGTTACACTTGGAGAGTCATGAAAACTGAGATGAGAGCTTGACTGTGCTGGCAGCCAGTATGCCAAAGGGCTTTTTTTCCTGAGATATTTGCATGGAACTTCTACCATGACCCATCCCAGTTTCAAAGCATTCTTACCACATGCGGCTGGGATGCTGTATGTTCCCTAATACTGCCCACACGTGAGCCTTTTTCCCTATAAGTGGCATCTCAAGACAATGGTATTTAAATGTTCTTTTCTCCAAATTAAAATAAAATTTGAGACAGAGTCTCACTCAGGGTCTCTCTGCAGCATCAACCTCTCAAGCTCAAATGATCCTCCCACTTCAGCCTTCTGAGTAGCTGGGACTGTAGGTGTGTGCCACAACATGGCTATTTTTTTATTTTGTGTAGAGACAAGGTCTCACTATGTTGTCCAGGCTGGTTCTGAACACCTGGGCTCAAGCAATCTTCGTGCTTTGTTTAAATATTTTGTTGCCATATTCCAAAACTAATCTGGAAAAAGTATAGATCCTCTCACAACTTTTAAATTGAATTCAATGATGTAATAGCATTCTTACATCATATTTTAAATATACCCAAAGGAATCTTAATACTAAATGACACTTTAAAATTTAGCATCATTCATCAAAAAGAACAAATTCTCCAATGACAGTCAGAAAATTTACATCATTTCTTTTATTACCTGAAATCAAATTTTTATTATGATTCCCCTACAGAGTTTTATCCTAATTTATTTTATATTTGAAAGTTGTTTTTAGTCATTCTACATTCTTCTAAGCACCAAAAATATATATAACAGATTGAAATTTTTTGTTGATGATCATAAAATTTGAAATATTTTAATATATATTGAAATAAAATTGTAATTATTAGTAATTCACAATTGATAAAAGCATTATAAAGCTATTACAAATTTTGATAAATAAATATTAAACAGAAAAGCAAAATTTTATCACAAATGCATCTCTTAATGAGATAAATGGGACTTTTTCCCAATTCATATATTTGTGGATGTCTATGAAGGTCACAATTCTTTCTTTTTTTTTTTCTTTTTTTGAGACAGGGTCTCATTCTGTTACCCAGGCTAGAGTACAATGGTGTGATCACAGCTCACTGCAGCCTCCTCCACCTCCTGGGCTCAAGAAATCCTTCCACTTTAGCCTCCTGAGATGCTGGGACTACAGGTGTCCAACACCATGCCAGTTAATTTTCTTTTTCTTTTTTTTTTTTTTTAGAGACAAAGTTTGCCGCATTGCCGAGGCTCGTCGTGAAATCCTGGGCTAAAGAAATCTGCCCACCTCGGCCTCCCAAAGTGCTGGGATTACAAATGTGAGCCATCTCACTCGGCCCATAAATATTTATTTATTGCTAAAAGAACATAGGTCTGATCATGGACTCTATTTGTATTATCATATGTGTGTGTGTGTATATATATATATATATATAGTTACTGTGAAAGCTTGTTCTTATAAACAAGTACATAAGATTAAAAGGGATTTTAATACAGCAATGGCATTCAATTGCTTGAACTTTCCAAATATATGCCAAAATCACATTGTTGCCCATCATACAACTCTTTTTTTTTTCTCTTTTTTTCTGAGACAGAGCCTTACTCTGTTGCCCAGGCTGGAGTGCAGTGGCTCAATCTCGGCTCACTGCAAGCTCTGCCTCCTGGGTTCACGCCATTCTCCTGCCTCAGCCTCCTGAGTAGCTGGGACTACAGGCGCCCGCCACCACGCCCGGCTAATTTTTTGTGTTTTTAGTAGAGATGGGGTTTCACCATGTTAGCCAGGATGGTCTCAATCTCCTGACCTCATGATCCGCCCTTCTCGGCCTCCCAAAGTGCTGGGATTACAGGCGTGAGCCACCGCACCCGGCCATACAACTCTTTTAATAATTCTATCAGCTATGAGCTTTATGAAGCCCTCCGTCAATTTTGCTGAAAGCTCATAAATGGAAATCCCCAGACTTGTAAAAGGATTTCTATCCCAATCTCTAGAGTAGTTCAAGTTCTCATTATCTGGGAGAAACAGCAAAAAGGTGAATCAACTACTATTTACAAAGTTTATTACTCTTTTAACCAGAGATATACTCTGAAAAGCTTTGGAAAATCAAAATATTGCTTATTTCTGTACTTTGTATTGTACTTTGCAAAAAACATTTTATTAAATGCTTTTAAAATGTCTTAAGATATCACAGGCCTTCAATACATTTTTTTCATGAAAATCTCAGAGGTATAGATCAATGAGTTAAAAAGACCCCTGAATGACGTAATTGGCAAGGCTAGGCCTAATTTTAAAACCCATTAGCCAAACCCATCTTCTCTGTCAGCAAAAATGGGACATTATTTATCAATACAAAAAGATGGCTGGGTGCAGTGGCTCACGCCTGTAATCCCAAGCACTTTGGGAGGCCAAAGTGAGTGGATCACGAGGTCAAGAGATCGAGATCATCCTGGCCAACATGGTGAAACCCCATCTCTACTAAAAATACAAAAATTAGCTGGGTGCGGTGGTGCACACCTATAGTCCTAGCTACTTGGGAGGCCGAGGCAGGAAAATCACTTGAACCAGGGAGGCGGAGGTTGCAGTGAGCCGAGATCGTACCATTGCACTCCAGCCCAGTGACAGAGTGAGACTCCGTCTCAAAAAAAAACAAAAGTCAATACAAACAGCTATGTTATGATACATATGAAAATATCTATCTTACAGAATGTATCTTGAGGGGCATATTACCAAACACATGAGGAAAAGAAATTATGATGTTATAAAATGAAAATGATAAATCAATATACTGTTTTCCATTACTGAATTTGTAATTTTTATTCAATGTAGCTAAAATTATGAATTATTTATAAACAACAAAATATAACAGAAAACATGTTATTTCTTTGAAATACATACTTATTTACACATCTGGACTTGTGTGTATGTATGAGAGTATATTTGTGTTTGTGTGCGTGTTGTATTCTGGTGTTCTGTTTTTGAGATTAATGAAGTAAGACTTGTATTAAAAATTAGAAAGAATTTCTTAAATTTTATTAGATCCCATAAATGAACTTTCTCTATATATTTACTTTACAAGAAAAGCATAAACTGCTAAAAAACAAATTGGTCTAACAGCAAGTATATAATTTAATTATTTTAATTGCGAGAAAAAAATGTGACATTTGTAAGATGAAACCAGATAAGGTTACTGTAACAAGATAAATAGCTCATGATATTATTTGATAAAAAGGTTTTATTTCTCTTATTTAATAACAACAAATGTGAAAGAAGTCTCACAAAATTTTACCTCTGATTTGTATCCAGAACAAACGCTAATCCTAGAAAACAGACCAGTTAAAGTGAAATGCATTAGAATCCCCCATCTATCATTTTCATGCATTCAAAGGTCCTTTTCTTCCCTTTTCTAGGGATGAAGGTTGAGAGACCAAAACATTGCTTATATTTAAACACATGAAAGAAATTGATATTTTAGCTTTCAGTGTTTCTAGTGATCTCTTTGCTTTGTTCTCCTGGAATCTTCCTCAAGAGAGATTCCTCCTTTGATAGTATTCAGGAATTTAAGAGGTTAGGTTGCTCACTCCTACTTCCATACTCTACAAAACACCTGAATTAAATATTTAGGAATGAATGAAATACCACATGTCAAATTCTGGGGACCTAAAAGTAGAACATAGAAGAAAATGTGTAGTTTAAAACATGTATTAAGAAACCAAAAAAGAGTCAGAAAAAAAGTGAGCCAAGCATTCAAATAAAGAACATGGAAAAGAAGCAGGAAAGCACATCCAATAAGCAAGGACATAGAAATAAAGGTCATAGCAGAAATTTATGAAATTGTGAAAAATGGAAATAATGGCAAGTAGCAATAATTAAACTAGCTCTTTGAAATGCTTAATAAAAAGGACAGGTTTCTGGGGAGACTGAAGAGGAGAAGGGGAAATTTGCAAATAAACAAATCCATAAACTAAAAAGGATAGACTACATATATATATCTGCAACAGAAATTTAAAATAAAAAAGAATACTGTAAATTACTGTCTCTAAATTTGAATATATAGATGGTGTGAAAAAATTCTTAGAAAAATGTAAACTGCCACAAATTAGAGAGAACTAAAATGGGCCAGTAAGAATTCAAGAAAAGGCCTCCTCTTCAGAAATGCCCCCAGATCCAACCGGTTTTATAAGTATGATCTCCCAAACATTTAAGAAAGGGTTAAGTCTATTGTTTACCACTTTCTCTAGAAACTAGCAAAAGAGAAAAGGCCATCTTTCTGTAATTGATCAAATAAAACAGAGTTTAAAACTGACTGCAACACTCAAAGGATGAAAAGAGGAGAGTGATGTGACCTGATTTGCAACAATTGAATTCTTGTAACTTAGAATGAAGTCACTTTTGCCACTGCTTAGGGCCTGGACTGGATGAAGTTTAAATTACAGGTAGGAGGAGGTCCAGTTATGGAGAATACCACAGTGGTCAGGGTGAGAGATGATAAGAACCTGAATTAAGAAAATAAATGTGGTGGTGGAAGAGATGGATTAGAGAGCTTTTGAGGAATTAGAATGGACAGGTCTTATAACTGATTATCCTTAAGAAGTGCTGGTGAGCAGCGGGGACTCTGAGGCCCAAGAGACCAAGGGAGTCACAGTTCCATTAGCCAGGGTTGGGGGAAGGGCAGGAACCAGAGGAGGGTCACCAATAGCCAAAGTTGGAGTTAGAGGAGGAGGATATTTGGTGATTTTGAGATGCCATAAGCTCCCCCAGAAGCAGATGTAAACAGATAAATATAAGAAGTCAGATCATAGGAAGAAAATCTGGGCCAAAGATTTGGAAGTTTTCAGCATATGGAAGGTAATGGAAGACATGAGCATTGTTGAGATGCAACAGCCAAGACCGTGTGTAGAGAAAAAGGGGTAAGGAACAAATGGGGACATGAGCAGATATTTTTATTGCCCTTCAGATCTCCTCTGCTAGCAATTATACCCTTTACCTGAGGACTTTCTGTACTTGGAAGATGGTTGCCAATGCAGTGAACAGGCTGGAAATGCCATAGAGTTAATGCCCCTAGGAAGAGCCCTCAGCTGGTGAAAGCTGGGAGTTGTTGGTAGATAGATCCCCCAGCCTCCTTCCTGCTTGCTTGGGACAGCCCTGAGCTATGTCCTACACTGTCTCACAGAGCCCCCAGTGGAAATGAGCTCCAGATGTCTACAAATGTACCTTTTATTGATAATGTATATTTTATCAGTGTTTCCCTTCCTTGTCTTACTTCTCCACTTCCATAACACTGTTTAGTGGAATTGCCCTCTGAAATAAATTACTACACTCAGATTCTTATCTCAGGGTCAGCTTGCGGGGAAACCCAAACTATCAGAGTAAAAGAAGTGCCAAGAAGGGGGAACTTTGGAGAGAGGCTGTAGAGGAAACTAGGAGAGTCTGGAAGGCAAAAGAGTAAAGAATTTCAAAAGGGAAAGAACATAAGTGAGGCATTGAAATCATAACATGAGGCATGGAAAGTAATGAAATTAATAGAGATAGAAAATAGAATGATAGTCCCCAGGGGCTGGGAGTAGGGGAAAATGAGGAGTGGTTTAATGGGTATAGAGTTTCAGTTATACAAGATCAAAAAGATGTAGAGATTAGGTGCACAATATGAATGGACTGAAAACTCATGAGCAATACACTTAAAAATGGTTAACAAAAGGAGAAAGTTGAATGAAACAAAACTATTGGTAGTCTTAGATTGAGCCATGACTGCAATCTACCAGTTTCTCAATCGCATGCTGATAATTTTCCAAAAGTTAGTGTCAATTGTTTGCTGTTACTTACTGTGTAAAAAATTATGACTATCACTTCAGTCATAAAGGAAAAGCTGGTTTCTGATTCCAACTAGTTATGCAACTTGGACAAGTTGCATCTTTTCCCTGGCTTAGAGCCTCCTTCCTTGTAAAGTGACTGAAATAGACTTGGTGATACCTAGATCTTTGTCTCCTCTAACATTCCATAATTTTATGGCCTAAAGTATAATTATATTAAAATGACCATTTCACAGTATGTCCTAGTTTTGCTCAAATATTCTTTCTATAATCATTTTCATGATTCTAATTCTGCATTTTTCCTATATAATGGAATTAACAGATAAGAAAGAACATAAAAAGAAGGCATAAACAGTGGCATCTTACAGGGTTTAATTCTTGACTTGGCACTATAGTTATGAGAATATGAACTGTACATAAGTTATTGAAGTTAAAGCCATTCATTCACTCTTTAAAAATGGTTAAGATGATAAATTTTATGTTGTTTGCATTTTACCACAATCAAATATTTTAACAGTGGAAAAAAAAGAGAGGATAACACATAGTGTCAAATGCTATGACAAAGTCTCTAAAGATAAGAAATGAGAGATTTATGGGCTTGGCAAAACTGGGGTGCTGATGAACTTAGAAGAGAGATTTCATTGTAGCAAGAATGACACAAGCTGAGCAGCAATTGTCTGAGCTGTAATTGGGCAGGATTAGCATGTAGGAATCTTTATATGAGGGGTAGGAGGAAATCAGAGAGAACTGCTTCTTGAGTAGTCTTATACTCCTACGAGAAAACATTAAAAAAAGTTCCTGGATTAATAGATAACCTAGTTATGTTGATCTCTGTGGCATTCCGTCATTTTTTCATCCATTCTATAGTCTAGTGAGAGAGAGAGAGAGAGAGAGAGCCAGCAAATGAGAGAGAGAGAGACAGCAAGAGAAAGATAATTGTGAGAAAAACCAGGCATGGCTCCTGCACCTAACTTCTCGCCGTGTAGCAGTCCAGTGAGGAGAATGGAGGGTAAGCAAATGCTTGTAAAACCTAATAATGAAAATGAATACTCATACAAATAGCACCTGTGGTTAATGCTCTGTGAAACAGAGAGAAATACGGTGCTATTAATCCATAGAATTGCAGCTGGACGTATCCAGGAAGACAACATCAAGTTTGATGGTGCAGGATGAGTAGAAGTTATCTGAAAAAGGGGAAAGTGGAGGAAGTGGATTAGAGACAGAGAGGAGAACATGTCAAAGGGCCTGTGAGGGGAGGAAGTATGACAATTTGTGAGCCTGAAAGAAGACTCCAGTGACTGAAACAGAAAAAGCCCAGTTCAAGAGCTAGCAAGGTACGTAGGGCCCCAAGGGTACAGGCTTTTTTGGCCATCTTACAGAGCACTGACTTCATCCTAAGAGCAGGAGGGTCTGGGAATCTTTTACTTGGGGTGGGGATAGGTGAGTGTTAAGGTGGTAGTTGGGAGTGTGGATGGAGGATGGGCAATCATGGATGAGACAGGTCAGTTAGGAGGATCCAGCAGCAGACCTGGCATGAGATAACAGTGGCCAGTACTAGGGTGGTGTCAGTAAAGATTTGAGAACATGGAAGGGTTCAAGACATATTTGGAGATGCGATATCATCAGGGTCTTGAGTTTCCTATGAAGAAGTGGACTTAAAGAGTCCCAACAGGATGAGGAGTAAATTAGGCAGAATCCAGAGGTCACCCAGACTAGAGTAACAGGTTCATCAGAACATATGTCATCACATATTGTGGTGTCAGGATGGGGAGGGGCTTAGGAGAGATGCAGGTAGTTGAGTCAGTACAAGTATAGCCTCCAGGTAAACAAGGCTAATTAAGATCATCATGATTACAGGCATGGAGGGCTGCACTGTGGCAAGTCAAGGCCCATTTAGTATCAGATAGGTGGGAATTCTCAATGTTACAAAACTATTAGAGCCCTCAAAGGATTAGACATCAGAAAATCTACTATCTAGACCCATTTTCTACCTATTGCCCTTTGGCAGTCATCCATTCATTCATGTATTTGTCCATTAATGTATCAGTTTATTCACTTATTCAACAAATATTTATTGAGTGCTAATATGTGAAGGCTATGTGTTAGACACTGAGGAGATGAGGAAAAAGACACACCACTGCTGCTTTCATGAAAGTATGACCAGTATGTGCTGGTAAAGGTTTAACATCTGCCTCTCCTCACTCACCTCTCCCAAAATCAAATAATTGCTTTGTAGTTCATTCCACTTTCAATGAAGTAAATATTCCCATTGTGTCTTATTTCAAGTTACCAACATGATGTCAACACTTCACAAAATTTCTGGAAATTTACCAGCTGGTCCTCAGGAGCTGCTACAAGCCAGCTCCAATGTCACTGGACCTGACATTCTAGTAAGGAAAACAGGAAAAATCAATAACCAAATGGGGAAGTAAATATTATGATAGATTATTATTTCATTATTGGCAGCTAGTGAAGGGTTCAAAGGGGTGCTCTGATAGCAAGCCATAAAGAGGGAGAAGTGTCTTTAGTTAGCCAGGGTAGTGAGGCAAGATCTCCTCAACGGAGACCATGCAAACTGAGACCTGAGTGAGAGAAAGGGTAATGAGGCAAGACCTCTTCAACTGAGACCATGCAAACTGAGACCTGAGTGAGAGAAACCAAATGGCAGCATTCTAGGCTGACAGAATGCTCACCAAAGAAAATCTCTTAGAGTTTGGGGTATACGTTTCTCTCTGTTACTTTTTCTGTGGGATTTTTTTCAGACTTTTGGAATTCCTTCACTGAAGTTCACATTCCCTTTCTCATTCTCTCCTGAACTTCTCTTTTTGTTACACCTTCCCATGCTGGTCTTGAACTTGACTATGTGATTTACTTTTGTCAATGGGACAATGGCAAGCAGAGACTTGTAAAAGCATTCAGTACATTTACACATTCACTCTTGGTCCTTTGCCTTCTCCACAAGAACACGTGTGCTAGCATGCTAAAGGATGAGAGACACGTGGAGCGGGCTGAGTTGGCTCAGTTAGGACAACCAAGGGACAGACATGTGAGACAGTCCAACTAAGATCACCACAAGCACCTAGCTGACCCACACCTGAACACAGACACACAAGTGAGCCTTGCTGAGCCTAGGCTGCATCAGCAGAAACATCCGACCCACCTGTAGAGGTCTGACAAATCATAAATGATTGTTGTTTTAAGCCACTCAGTTCTGAGATGGTTGTTAAGTCATGTAGCAGAGGAAGAAAACATTTTTCTCACTTATCTTCAGTTCATGGCTAGGGCCCCTATAACAAAAGACAGATTAGCAAGAAAAGAAAACCATCAAATATAGGTTTTACGTAAGGAAATGAAGACCCAAAGAAACAGTTAAACAGTTAAACTTATATATTTTTATGCTGTTTGTTGAAGAATGGACAGTCATAGAGAAATATAGTAGACAACGGGGTATAATCTCATGGTATAAACTGGGGGGAAGCTAGCAAGCCCTGTTTGTTCACTTTCTTCTCTGTGACCCTGCATCTTCAGAGATGAAGATGTTTCTTTTACTTGAGTATGAGGATGGCGTCTCTCAAATGGGAGTCTTATGATCTGCTTCAAGGTAAGGTCAGATAATTCTTTCTAGATTTTATGACCTGCTTACGGAAAGAATGGTGGGGCGAAGGTGAGAGTGACTTTCTGGCTTCTGCCATTTTCTCAGATTTCTTCAGCTTTACAAATTCAGTATGCCAAGGTGCCTTATTTTGAGGTAGTATGTCTTGAACTCCATCAGTAGCAATAGCTAACACAAATGGCTTCCTGATGTATTTTTCCAAGCCTATGATACATAGAAAGTGGACAACATATATACATATATCTATATGTATACAAGTATATATATACCCACATGCAATTTGGAGATTAAGAATCTGTAGAAAGAGGAGTACTTTTCTGCTAAGCTGACAATTATATAGAAGCTTTTAAATGTTTAAAGATCTAGTAAAATAGTACTTTTTAAATTTATAACTAAGAGTTCAGTGAACTAAATGTACAGTCTCAGGGCAAGACAGAAATGGGAATTGAACTGTGCAAACAGAGATTTGTCTTTCAGCCCCAGTTAGCTTTTAAAAATTCACTGGATGGTCTTATTTTTGTATTAAAATACATATTGGAATCAGACATATATGCCTTTTCTGGTTTCTCCATTTTATAAGAGAAATTTTATAAGATACTCCAGAAACTAACTTACTCTAATTTCATCCAATTTCTAAAATCTGTGCTGTCTCTAGAAATATTTAGTTTCCATCTTCTTCCCCAGGAGTCTTTCTTCATTCCCTGTTCCACTAAGAAAATGACTGTGTGCTTCCTTTGTACACATGCACACTGTGTTAACTTACAAAGATTCCTTGGAAAACTAATCAATCAGAGATTTTAAAAGAAAGGAGTCATGCTAAATTTCCCTTGAACCTCAGCTTTTTATTTCTTTTAATTACTTAGATAAGGTCTGAGTATTGGGCAGAGGAAAAATTGTGACTTAAAAATAAGATGTAATACATATGTAAATTTACATCACCAATCTTGACTCATTGATCTTTATGGTATTGTAGTGAGCTTTAGGCCTGAAATAAAACATGTAATCAAAAAATGTTTGTTGAGCAACTGTCTTAAAATTAACATACTTAGAAAGTTATGTTAGTATTTTGGCATTGCCAGCATTAATGCTTAGGTTAACTACTTATCCCCAAAACAGCATTTAGAATGTTCCTATAAGCCTGTGTGGTTTTGTTACATTTTATACCTAAAAATTCCACAGCAGTTCCAAGTGATGAACCAAAATAATTTTTGCCCTGGAAGTTAAAGGAGGTAAAATTTTTCTCATAATGCCAATCTATTGAATAAGCCCACATCATTCTTGTCATGCAAAAGAGAAATGCTTTGAAGACCAACTGCTGTTCATCTTTTCTTTTCCTTTATGTTAATGATTTCTACACAAACTAATTGCCTTAAAAGTTGCTGATCATGTTACCAGAACAATGATAAATTGCTAAAATAGTTACCATTGAACCACAAGCACAGGTTTTGCATCTCTATTTTTGCAACTTGGAATTTAAAAATGCTTCTTGAAAAACTAAAGCAAATTAAAAAGCAAGGACTCCCGCTCAGTGCTAGATTAACTTCAAATAGATGCTTATCAATGAAGGCCATCACAGAATGAAAATTGTTTTTTAAACAATTCATAGAGATTTGGCATTTTTAAGTGCATCCTTATATACATATAAATTAGTATATGAAGATAACCTTTTAAGCATGCATGAAGCATTGCAATACTAGTTAGTAATAAAGACAAACCAACTGATATATGGATGACTTTTATGGACAATGCTACAGGGACAGAAATGAACTGAAAAGAGTGTATGCTGCATGATTATACTCACGTAAAGTCTAGAGCATTAAATACTAATCTGTGATGATTGAATTCAGATAGTGAAGACTTCCAATGAAAGAAATTAGAAAAAGGCACAAGAAATTTTGGGTGGTGATGACAGTGTTCTATATGTTGTTTATGGTAATGGTTACACAGCCATATTCAATTACACAGTCAGAACTCATTGAACAGAACACTTAAAAACTGTATGTTTTATTTTATGTAAATTTTACTTTAATAAAAAAAATCAGGCACTCAAATATTTGAGCTTTGCTATTTTGATTATAAAAAGTAAAGTTTGATTTTATAACTAAAAAAATTACTAAATTATCCAAATGCACACAGCACTAAATAAGTGGTGGTTGACCGATTATGTGTGCTCCACTGGGAATACTGCTTGATTGTGTGATAAAATAGGAAAATTTGCAAAAGGATGTGAAATTTTATAGAAAATTAAAATAAGCATATAGAGAACATGCATGTGCAACTGTGGCAGAGTGGAGTGGACGGTTGCATTGTATAACACCTTGTAATGACGACAGACATCACATGGACATATACGTGTTCATATAGATCATTAGTTTCTATATTTCTATAGAGACTTAATCTTTCAGTACGGTGCTTGGCTGAGTCTCTGGGCCCATAACTTTCTCTTTTATTCTGTACAGTTTCTCTTTTTTTCCGTTTTATAGATAAAATTTCATTTGGGAAGGTGGTTTTGTGGCTAATACAATACTAAATTTCGCTGTAGAAATTAGCATTTTAATTTTCAAAAAATTCTAAGTCAAGGCAAAACAGTATGTTTTAAAGCTTTTTTTTTCCAGTAATGAACAAGTAAGTAACAGTGGTAGTGGGCTGCTAACCCTCTATACTCTCTTGATTAGTCCATTTTTTAACCAGTGGCATCCCTTTTCAGAGGGGAAATGCAACTGAAATTCTTATGAAGTTGCTATATTTCTTCCTAGTGATGCTGACTATAAATGTTTCAGTCATAACCTTGTATTATGACTGTATAGGCCAAAAGTCTTCTCATAGGATGGGTAACCAACATCGTTAGAATGTAACAGACTCTTGCATGCTTTGTTGATGCTCTTCTAGAAAGGTAATTTTTAGTACTAATATCTGAATCATAGGACTAACATTGTCATGAATTTAGAAAAATTTTTAAGAACTTAAGAAAATTATTTCAATAATTTTTTGGGGAACAGGTGGTGTTTGGTTACATGGTTAAGTTCTTTAGTGGTGATTTCTGAGATTTTGGTGCACCCATCATCTGAGCAGTGTACACTGTACCCAATGTGCACTCTTTTATCCCTCACCCCCCTCCCACTCTTTCCCGAGTCCCCACAGTCCGTTGTATCATTCTTATGCCTTTGCATCCTCATAGATTAGCTCCCACTTATGAGTGAGAACATACGATGCTTGGTTTTCCATTCCTGAGTTATTTCACTTAGAATGATGGTCTCCAATTTGATCCAGGTTGCTGAGAATGCCATTATTTCATTCCTTTTTAAGGCTGAGTAATATTCCATAGTATACATATACTACATTTTCTTTATCTACTCATTGATGGGCATTTGGGCTAGCTCCATATTTTTGCAATTGTGAATCATGCTTTTATAAACATGCATGTGCAGGTATATTTTTCTTATAATGACTTATTTTTCTCTGGATAGATACCCAGGAATGGGGGTAGATCTACTTTTAGTTCTCTAAGGAATCTCCGTACTGTTTTCCATAGTGGTTGTTGGACTAGTTTATATTTCCACCAACAGTGTAAAAGTGTTCCCTTTTTACCACATCCATGCCAACATCTATTATTTTTTTATTTTTCGATTATGGCCATTCTTGCAGGAGTGAGGTGGTATCGCATTGTGGTTTTGATTTGCATTTCCCTTATAATTAGTGATGTTGAACATTTTTTCATGTTTGTTGGCCATTTGTATATTTTCTTTTGAGTATTATCTATTCATGTTCTTAGCCCAATTTTTGATAGGATTGTTTGTTTTGTTCTTGCTGATTTGTTTGAGTTCCTTATAGATTCTGTATATTAGTCCTTTGTCGGACGCATAGATTGTGAAGATTTTCTCCCACTCTGTGGGTTGTCTGTTTACTCTGCTGATTATTTATTTTGCTGTGCAGAAGCTTTTTAGTTTAATTAAGTCCCATCTATTTATCTTTGTTATTGCTGGATTTTCTTTTGGGTTCTTGGTTATAAAGTCTTTGCCTAAGCCAATGTCTAGAAGAGTTTTTGCGATGTTATCTTCTAGAATTTTTAAGGTTTCAGGTCTTAGATTTAAGTCTTTGATCCATCTTGAGTTAATTTTTGTATAAGACGAGAGATGAGGATCCAGTTTCATTCTTCTACATGTGGCTTGCTAATTATCCCAGCACCATTTGTTGAATAGGGTGTCCTTTCCCCACTTTATGTTTTTGTTTTCTTTGTAGAAGATCAGTTGATTGTAAGTATTTGGGTTTATTTCTAGGTTCTTTATTCTGTTCCATTGGTCTATGTGCCTATTTTTATACCAGTACCTTGCTGTCTTGGTGACTAGGGCCTTGTAGTATAGTTTAAAGTCAAGTAATGGAATGCCTCCAGATTTGGTCTTTTTGCTTAGTCTTGTTTTGGCTATGTAAGCCCTTATTTGGTTCCATATGAATTTTAGGATTCCTTTTCTAGTTCTGTAAAGAATAATGATGTCATTTTGTTGGGAATTGCATTGAATTTGTAGATTGATTTTGGCAGTATTGTCATTTTCACAATATTAATTCTACCCATCCATGAGCATGGGATGTGTTTCCATTTGTTTATGTCATCTATGATTTCTTTCAGCAACATTTTGTAGTATTCTTATAGATGTCTTTCACCTCTTTGGTTAAGTATAGTCCCAACTATTTTATTTTATATTATTTTATTTTTTACAGCTATTGCAAAATGGGTTGAGTTCTTGATTTGCTTCTCAGCTTGGTCACTGTTGGTGTTTAGCAGAGCTACCTATTTGTGTACATTAATTTTGTATTCTGAAACTTCACTGAATTCATTTACCAGTTCTAGGAGCTTTATGGATGAGTCTTTAGGGTTTTCTAGGTATATGATCATGTCATCAGCAAACAGTGACAGTTTGACTTCCTCATCACCAATTTGGATGCCCTTTATTTCTTTCTCTTGACTGATTGCTCTGGCTAGGACTTCCAGTACAATGTTGAATAGATATGGTGGGACAGGTGTAGTGGTTCATGCCTGTAATCCCAACACTTTGGGAGGCCGAGGTGGGCAGATCACTTGAAGTCAGGAGTTCAAGACCAGCTGGCCAACATGGTTAAACACCATCTTTACTAAAAATGCAAAAAAAAAAAAAAAAAAAAAAAAAAAAAAACTTAGCCAATTGTGGTGGTAGATGACTGTAATCCCAGCTCCAAGCTACTTGGGAGGCTGAGGCAGGAGAATCGCTTGAACCTGGGAGGCAAAGATTGCAGTGAGCTGATAGTGCGCCACTGCACTTCCAGCCTGGAGACAGAGCAAGACTCCGTCTCAAAAAAAAATAAAAGTGGTGTAAATGGGGATCCTTGTCTTGTTCCAGTTCTCAGGGGAAATGTTTTGAGTTTTTCCACATTCAGTATAATATTGGCTGTGGGTTTGTCATAGATGGCTTTTATTACCTTAAGGTATGTCCCTTCTATGCCAATTTTGCTGAGGGCTTTATTTATAAAGGGATGCTGGATTTTGTTAAATACTTTTTCTGCTTTTATTGAGATGATCATGTGATTTTTGTTTTTAATTCTGTTTATGTGGTGCATCACATTAATTTACTTGCAGATGTTAAACCATCCCTGCATCCCTGGTATAAAACCCACTTGATCGTGGTGGATTATCTTTTTGATATGCTCTTGGATTCTGTTAGCTAGTATTTTGTTGAGGATTTTTGCATCTATGTTCATCATGTATATTGGTCTGTAGTTTTCTTTTTTTTGTTATGTCCTTTCCTGGTTTTGGTATTAGGGTGATACTGGCTTCATAGAATGATTTAGGGAGCATTCCCTCTTTCTCTATCTTTTGGATTAGTGTCAATAGGATTGGTACCAATTCTTCTTTGAATGTCTGATAGATTTCAGCTGTGAATCTCTCTGGTCAATGATAAAATAACTAGTCCAACAGGAAAATATCACAATCCTAAAAATATATACACCTAACACTGGCGCTCCCAAATTTATAAAACAATTACTGCTAAACCTGAGAAAAGAGAGGGACAGCAACACAATAATAGTGAGGGATTTTAATACTCCACTAACAGCACTGGACACATCATCAAGACAGAAAGTCAGCAAAGAAACAATGAACTTAAACTATACCCTAGAACAAATGGACTTAACAGATATTTACAAAACATTCTACCCAACAACCACAGAATATACATTCCATTAATCAGCACATGGTACATTCTCTAAGATAGACCATATGATAGGCCACAAAACAAGTATCAACAAATTTAATAAAGTAGAAATTATATCAAATAGTCTCTCAGACCACAGTGGAATAAAATTGGAAATAACTCCAAAAGGAACCCTCAAAACCATGCAAATACATGGAAATTAAATAACCCACTCCTGAATGATTGCTGGGTCAACAATGAAATCAAGATGAAAGTTTAAACATTCTTTGAACTGAATGATAATAGCGACATAACTTACCAAAGCCTCTGGGATACAGCAAAAGCAGTGTTAAGAGGAAAGTTCATAGCATTAAATGCCTACATTAAAAAGTCTGAAAGAGCACAAATAGACAATCTAAGGTCACACCTCAAGAAACTAGAGAAACAAGAAAAAAACAAACCCAAACCCAGCAGGAGAAAGAAATAACAAAAGATCAGAGCAGAACTAAATGAAATTGAAATAAAAAAAGCAAAAGATAAATGAAACAAAAACTGGTTCTTTGAAAAGATAAATGAAATTGATAGGCCATTAGCAAGATTAACTAGGAAAAGAGAGAAGATCCAAATAAGCTCAATTAGAAATGAAACAAGAGATATTACAACCGATACCACAGAAATACAAAAGGTAATTCAAGGCTACTATGAACACCTTTACGTGCATAAACTAGAAAACCTAGAGGAGATAGATACATTCCTGGAAATATACAACCCTCCTAGATTAAACCAAGAAGAAATAGAAACTGAACAGATCAAAAACAGTGAGATTGAAACGGTAATTTAAAAGTTACCAACAAAAAAATAAGTCCAGGACCAGACAGATTCACAGCTGAATTCTACCAGACATTCAAAGAACTTTTGATTGAGCATCAATTCAAATTTTGCATAAAACCCAATTTGTTAAACAAACAAGCAATAAAACTAGATTTTTCTGGCTGAAGTAGGATTGGAGACCTGGACATCTTACATATTTGACTTCTCTACCATTTTCTGCAACAGCCCCCAGGGAATCAAAACATAACCCCAGAGACCACATAAAGATACTGATTTGGAGCCGTGCTTCTCAACTAGGAACACTTTTGTTTCCCAGAGGACACCTGGCAATGTCTGGAGACATTTTTTATTGCACAGAGGTGCAACTATGGCATCTAGTGGGTAGAGGCCAGAGATGCTGTTAAACATCCTGCAATGAATGGGACAGCCCCTACAACAAATAATCACTGGGCTCAAAATACCAATAGTGCCAAGGTTGTGAAACCCTGATATGAAGAAAGATTTGGAAAGATAAAACACTTAGGTATATTTTGTTCCATCTCTGAGGCCGAGTTACTCAAAATGCGCTTAAATATTTTATTATATAAGGTGAAGATATACAGCTTGTCTCTGATAGTTACATAACTGAGCAGCTGCTTCTAGCGTTGCTATTCTGCCTTTACCTATGTACCTAGAACTAATTAGAAAGAACAGTTTAAAGTGTCTCCTTAGTGTCCTCGATTGGATCTTCACATACTTGGTCTTTGTTTTTCTCCCCTAGCCAGGGGTCAGAAGTGTCAACTTCATCACACTGGTCTTTAAAATAAAAAGAAAAATATCGACCATTTTCTGAATATATCAATGCAATTATGAGCCAAATTCCTATCTGCTACTAAACCCATGCTATAGTTAATAAAAGGAAGAAGCCAAAATTCTTCAATGAGAGTGTTTTTCCCAGAGATGAAGAATAATACCCGTCTGCCTACAGGACAATGATTATATGTTCATCATTTAGCATAGCAGGTCTAAGTAAACATTTCCATCAGATTTCATTGTTATGAAAAACAATCTACTCCACTACACAGTATATTAAGCACCAATCAATGAAAACCAAGGGAACAGATTATTAACACTTTTTCAGTACAAAAAGCAATCCAGGCTGCTTGCCACTATCACATACTGCTTTTAATAGGAATAGTTTTTAAACTCATCATATTGGAATTTGGCTAATTAGAAAGCTAATTTGTAATGACACCTTTCAGTCCAAAGATACAATGGCATAGGCAAGTTTTCATGCTTAGAGTGGCCTGATCTTTAAAAATATGAACCTTTTCAAGTCCTGATTCTGCAAATATAATTCACTCACCCGATTAAAAGTTCATTCAATTTGTTATTGCTTCAAAGAAACTATCCCAACCCCAGTAGCTTAAAACAACAATTATATTTAGTGCATGATTCAATGAGTCAGCAAGTTAAGCTAGACCCACCTGAAAGGTTATTTACCCTTATGAATATGCAGTCAATAGTAGATTAACTAGGTGGCTTTGCTTTTTACAGTTAGCTAGCTGTTGGCTGGTATACAACGGGGACAATTGAGTTCCACTACCAACCTATCCCTGGTTTGTTTACTTAGAGAGCCAGGGGTACCAAAAGAGAGCAGAAGCATGCAAGACCTCTTCTGGTTTTTTTCTCAGAACTGGTACAAAATTGCTTTGGTCACATTCTATAAAGTAAGTTAAAGGCTAGCCCAGATTCAAGGGATGGAGAAATATACAATGGTGACAACTGAGTTCCACTACCAACCTATCCCTGGTTTGTTTACTTAGAGAGCCAGGGGTACCAAAAGAGAGCAGAAGCATGCAAGACCTCTTCTGGTTTTTTTCTCAGAACAGGTACAAAATTGCTTTGGTCACATTCTATAAAGTAAGTTAAATGCTAGCCCAGATTCAAGGGATGGAGAAATAGGTTCTACCACTTAATGGGAGGAACTGCAACGTCACATTACAAAGTGTGTGGGTATAAAGCCAAGCAGAGAATTGAGGCTATTTTGGTGAACAATACACCACACTCATCCAGCACGCTGCTGTCACCTTTATTTTCACGAGATCTGGCTTCCCTGTGGTGATTAACATAAAGACAATGTAACACAATCCAGAAACGCCTGGGCATTAATGCCCAGTGGAGCAAATGTGAAGTAATGGGAGACAGAATACGTAAAGTGGCTGGCAGATAAATATTTTTCTCGTCTCCTTCTTTGACAACCTGTTTTAAGATTCTGTGTCTCTTTTAGGTTCTTCTAGAAGACATCTGCTATAACCCAGCTACCACATTTTTTGGGGAGGCTACCACATTTTTAAAAAATCTTTGGAATGCTCCTCCTTGTATTTTTTTTCACTTTCCTTGCCTCTGTTTTCCTTTTTTTTTCATTCTCATCGCACTTGCACTCCCCAATAGAGCATGGAAAGGTTAGTTTTTGCTACATAACAAAATACCCCAAAGCTTAGTGGCTTAAAATAACATGGATTTATTAGGCCACAATGCTATAACTTGGCTATTCGGGCTGTGCTCAGCTGGACAGTTCTTCTAGTCTCTGCTTGACTCACTCATACAACTATACCAAGTTACTAGATTGGCTAAGTTTTGGCTAGTATAGGACACATGGCCCATTACTGCTCCACATGAACTCATCCCCAAGTAGGCTAGCCCAGGTTTGTTCTATGGCAGCTGAGCAGGGTCCCAAGAAAATAAGTGAAGCCATGCTAAGCTTCAAACAACCACATGATCACTTTCATCTCATTCCATTGGGCAAACTTCATCACAAGGCTATCCCAGACTCCAGGGTTGGGGAAATAGATTCCATCCCTTAATGAGGGGACTTACAGAGATACATTGCAAATGTACATATATAGAGGGGAACAGAGAATTGAAGACATTTTTCCAATCCTCTTCAAAGAATAAGCACGTACATTTTGCCTTAGGGTTTATTTTCTATAAGACTCAGGCTATGACAGTGTCTATTGCACAAATATCTTAAAAAACATCAACACCCTTGAGTAGGCTTAATAATTTTTACTGTATAATCATTGTTAAACTAGCATTAGTTAAAGTAAACAAAGTATTACACAGTCTTGTCATCTCCACAGTATAAACTATCCATTATTTTCCAATTTTCTTTTCTATTTTATTTTCTAGCATAAAAACATTTGCAGAAATGCCTCCTTAGATTTCTCCTTCTTCTCCTCCTCCTCTTCCTCCTCCTCCTCCTTTTCCTGCTCCTCCTCCTCCTTTTCCTCCTCCTCCTCTTCCTTCTTCTCCTTCTTCTTCTTCTTCCTCTTCTTCTTTACATTTAATGGTTTAGTTGAGCAAAGAGTGATCTGTGAATCAGACAGCTCCCAGAAGCAGAATGTGTTCAGAATTACTCTGGGGCTGCCATGGTCGGATAACATTTATGGACAGAAAAAGGAAAGTGACTTACAGAAAATGGGAGTAAGGTACAAAACAGCTGGATTCATTACAGTTCAGCAGCGTTTGCCTTATTTGAACACAGTTTGAACACTTGGCCACCTGTGATTGGCCGAAACCCTGTGATTGGCCGAAACCCTGTGATTGATACAAAGGTATGTTACAGTTTGTTTGCATATCCAGTTAGGTTACAGTTCACTATGTATGGAGAACCTTTAAACTGAACTGAAGTTACATAAGGAGGCATCTTTTGGTTGAACTTAATTTGACAGTTCCCTGCTTTGGTCAACCTTTCAATTTTGAGAGATAGACCAAAACTTTAAGCATTGATCTCTTCTGTCATCATTGTAAATGGACTTATTTGGTCTCAAATTTCACTAGGGAATAGCAGAACAGTGAGTTTCATAAGGTAGGAATAAGGAACAGACAATAGAAAAAAAACTGGTTACTTCTGCTGTTTTTGTTTTTTTAAGGGTTACAGCACAGGAGACTACCTTATCATGCTGGAGACTAGTGTTTTCAGGAGAAAAAAAAAACTGGTCTGTTTTTAGAATATATCTGCTTTCTTAAAATTTCAGCTTGATTATATCACATTTAGCATGAGTGACTCCATTTTGGTTTGGTCTAGTCTACTGGAGCCTAGTGCAGGAGCTTAGTCTGGAACAATGGCCTCCCACAATTTTGTTTAACATTTTTCCCCTTTTGGTGAGCTTCTCATCTAGGAGAGAATGTGACCAAAACTTAGTGCTTTAACACTACACTCTGTTACCATCATTTAGGGTTTCCAATTTCATTACACTATTCATTATGCATTTCTTTAAGTTTTTGTCATTCAAATTGAAGAGAGACTATTTGACATTCTACGATGGCTGCATGCCAACATTTACAAATTTTGAGAGAATACAGTCCACTAGGGAGACTACTATTATTACTATCAGGAGCATAATACCAAGAGTTTGGAGTATACTCCTTAGTCAGAGTCCCCATGAACCAAACCAACTAAAATCAAATAGAACAAAATATGAGCCAGATGAAGAGTCTATTCATTTAACCAAGCAGCCTGTTCATAAATCCCCTGCAACCGAGTCTCTATAATACCTCATATATTCATTTATGTGCAACAAGAAGTGTTAGCAACTGCACAGATTCCTCCCTATTTAGCCAGCAGGATCTAAAACAATTCTATTATCAAGTACAAGTTTATATTTATTTATTTAGAGACAAAGTCATGCTATGTTTCCCAGGCTGGAGTGCAGTGATGCAATCACAGCTCACTGCAGCCTTGATCTCCCAGGCTCAAGAGATCCTCCCGCCTCAGCCTCCTAAGTAGCTGGGACGACACGTGTGCACCACCAAACCCTGCTTTATTTTATTTTATTTTTGATTTTTAGTAAAGACAAGGCCTCACTATGTTGTCCAGGCTGATCTTGAACTTCTGACCTCAAGTGATCCTCCCACCTCAGCCTCCCAAAGTGCTGCCATTACAGGAGTGAGCCAAAATACCTGGCTTATCTAGTATAATTTTAGCAAGAGAATTTAAAGAAGTCTGTTGCGCAATCACAGCCTTTGCAGTAGAATCTGCTATAGAGCCTATCATGTGGGATAAATTTCTTTTTCTTGTGTGTGTATGTGTATGTTTTATTAAAGTATGTTATACATGCAAAAAGTGCATAAATAATGAAAGTGCAGTTGGACAAATTTTTGCAAGGTGAACACACCACTGTAATCAGTACCCAGATTAGGAAAGAAAACATTACCAGGGCCCCAGAAACCTCTGTTGTTCCCCTCGCAGCCACTGCCTACCCTCAAGGTAATCACTCTCTTGACCATTTTTTTTTTTTTTTTTAAGTCAGAGTCTCGCTCTGTCACCCAGGCTGGAGTGCAATGGCATGATCTCAGCTCACTGCAACCTCTGCCTCCCAGGTTCAAGCAATCCTCTTGCCTCAGCCTCCTATGTAGCTGGGATTACAGGAGCGCCACCATGCCCAGCTACTTTTTGTATTTTTAGTAGAGACAGGGCTTCGCCATGTTGGCCAGGCTGGTCTCAAACTCCTGACCTCAGGTGATCCACCTGCCTCAGCCTCCCTAAATGCTGGGATTACAGGCATGAGCCACCACGCCTGGCCCAGCTTCTTTTTTTAAATGAGGGATAAATTTCTAATTATTGTCTTATTTATTCCAAATCATGTAAAAAGAGACCTAACAAATGATGCCCATTCAGAAGAGAAGTGAAGTCCTCCTTAAAATATTCTCTTTAATTTATGGTATAAATTAAGAGGAGTGGACCAAGTTTCTGTTTCTGACTGATTATGGAGCAACAAAAATATTATTAAAATTCCAAGGCATAAGATTGCCCATGTGTAAGGTTGATTGTGAAATCCTCCACAAATAAAAATACACCTCATGCATGCATGCAAGGCCCCTTTTTTAGTTCTTTTGTTAATAGAGGTAAATGCAAGGAAAAAATTAAGAGAGGTAAGACTTTGATTATGGCAAAGAAGCCTTGATCCATGATCTGGGGAAAGCTGTCCATCTAGAATGCCATCTGTTTTGGGGGAGAAACTTTCCTGATTAGATTTATCTTAAGATCTCTATATTAGGCCATTCTTCCATTGCTATAAAGAAATACCTGAGGCTGGGCACAGTGACTGTAATTCCAGTACTTTGAGAGGCTGATGCAGGAGGATCATTTGATCCTAGGACTTTGAGACCAGCCTGGGCAACATAGTGAGAGCTTGTCTCTACAAAAAATTTTTAGCTGCAGGTGGTGGCACATGCCTGTGGTCCCAGCTACTCTGGATAGGGAGGCAGAGTTGGGAAGATCACTTGAGACTGAGATGTCGAGGCTGCAGTGAGCTCTGATCGTGCCACTGCACTGCAGCCTGGATGACAGAGCAAGATCCTGTCTTAAAAAAAAAAAAAAAAAAAGAAAGGAAAGGAAAAAGAAAAGAGGACTGGGTAATTTGGGTAATTTATAAGAAAAGAGGTTTCATTGGCTCACAGTTCTGAAGGCTGCACAAGAAGCATACCACCGGCCTCTGCTTCTGGGGAGGCCTCAGGAAGCTTCCAATCATGGCAGAAGATGAAGTGGGAGCAGGCATCTCATGTGAAGGGAATGGGAGCAAGAGGGGGGCAGGAGGTGCCACACACTTTCAAACAAGCAGACCTCATGCCTCACTATTGAGAGAACAGCACCAAGCCATGAGAGATCTGCCCCTGTGATCCAATCACCTCCCATCACGTCCCATCTCCAACACTGGAGATTACATTTCAACATAAGACTTGAGTGGGGACATATATCAAAACTATATTAATTTCCAGTGGTATATAGTTCCAAGAGTCTGGAGTGGTTCTTCAGAGTTGTGAGATTATAAACCCAAAGTTTGAAGTCCCAAAGTTTTGCTGCAATGTGGGCGGCAAACGCAGTCTTTCTCTGACATCATTTCCGTAAGACCCAATCTCTGAGTTCTAGATTGTGAAGCGTTTGATTCTCCTCAGTCAGTGGATCACAAAGGCTTCCTTTACCTGGTGAAAATACACTTTGGCATAATGCATTAAAGCCTTGCAGCATTTAGTCACATCAGAATTTAGGAGCAAAACATACATAGGGTTCTATTATTAGGGGCATGGGCCTTCCTGTGACTATTTCATAAGGGGTCCAACTTACATTTTCCACTGGGAGTCAATCTGATTGTCAGCAGTCTGCAATACCTTTGATGAAGGCAATCCAGTCAATTCAGTTAGCTTTGCCTAATGCTATTGTATCTGTAAATCTTATTTAACTGTTTGACAACTTGTACAGTGAGACAAGTACCTCTAATGCTGGAGATTTCTCTAGAAATGTCCCATAAGAGAAACACATTTCCTACTAATCTTTTAGCTATTATTACAGCATTGGCTTCCTTGCATGGGAAAGCTTCTAAACCAGAAAACATGCATTGGAAATGGCAATTGAATGAAATTCCTCTATAAACATACAAATGGTTCATTAAGTACCTGAAGTTTTCATTATTTTCCCAAGATAATGGTTTTGACAAACCAAACATTGGTCATAAACAATTTTAGCAATTTAGAACAGTCACTACACCAATATATGTGTTTTTGTTTGGATTACTTTGTCTCTTCCTTGATGAATTATGGAGTGCACAGCTTTTAATAATAGAAGCTTTGTCTGGGTGCAGTGACTCATGCTTGTAATCCCAGCACTGGAAGGCCGAGGCAGGAGGTGAATTGCTTGAAGACAGGAGTTTGAGAACAGCCTGGGCAGCACAGTGAAACTTCATCTCTACAAAAAATGTAAAAAATTAGCTGGGTGTAGTGGCATGTGCCTGTAGTTCCAGCTACTTGGGAGGCTCAGGCAGGAGGATTGCTTGAGCCCAGGAATTTAAGGTGGCAGTGAGGAATGATTGCGCCACTGTACTCCAACCTGGACAACAGAATGATAATAATAATATCATTGTCTCAATGATAATAATAATAATAAGGGAAACTTTAAGAACTCAGAAAGGATGAGGTTCTCCATGAGTTCATGCTTAACACTGAATTTATATCCTGTTAAATACTAATTTTGTTTCTCCAGGTGTATAGCAGTGTTTATTAAACAGGTTATTATAGGTGATTTGACTTGGACTACAGGGTTTATTCAAATTGCATAGCATAACAATTTCAGTAGTGGCTGATTTAGCTTGAAAATCTACCAAAGTATTTCCTTGGTATCTAATTAATTCCTGTTCTGCTTGAGTTGGCAGCTTTACAAACCAGTCAGTCTCTATATTAGCAGCTTTACAAACTGCTCAGTCTCTACATTACCAGAACTCTTTATTAGAGTTCTGGGAAAGCTAACACAGTCCAAAGGATACGATCCTAAAGTCATAAGAAACCTGAGTTCAAGAGTGCTTGTCAGGGTCCTTTCCATTCTTTCCATGAACTTCCTTAAAGACACAACACTTTTGGAATTTGCTTGCTTTTAAACAGCTTTCAGAAAATGCATAAGAATTAAGCAATTAACTGTGGACAGACTTAAAATGGTGATGATTTAAGACACAACTGAGAGGAAAATTCAGTTATTTCTGTGGCCTTTGATAATTTAATATAATAATCATAATTATGATTCATTACATATACGAAGATATAACAGAATTTTATAAGTATCACACAATTTTGAGACACATATTAATAACATATTCATGAAAATACAACTTGAAGAAGGTTGAACATCATTTCTTGCTTGACAATGCTTCCTGTATGACTTAACTCCCCACATTATTTAATTGAATACACCTCTTTATTATCTTTCTTTTGAATGCTTCAGGTGGCCTTTGGAACATCCCAAAGGTAGTATGAGGTCAAAAAGACTTAATTTTGGAATTTGAAATTTGATTTTGGGAAGGCTGTCAAATATGTTAAAGTTTTAAAATACTTAATCAAAATAGATCACAGGTCATTATAAAATAATAGTTATTCATTCAGTCAAAATGATAACTAAAAAGTTTTAAAAAGCAAAAACATTTATTTTTTGCTAGAAAAGAAATCCAACTTTCTAAACAATCAAAAGACTTGAAGACAGCCTGAGACAGAATCTGTCTATCCTTCTCTCCTCTATTTTTTCTTTTTTTGCAGCTTCTTCAAAAGGTGAACAAAAATCTGTTACTATTTCTTACTAATACTACATGAAATTTTTTTCAAAAGAGAAAACCAAATTTTACTTTTGTATTAGTATATTATTACTAAAGCTAATTTTAAAGAAACCTTATAAACAAATTCATCCAATTTCAGTCAGCTTTTGAACACACAAGATAAGATTTCTGTAAACCTTTTATAATGTCTTCCAATTTTTTCATTTTTCTTTTCCCAACTTTTTAATATTTATTTAGTTTTATATATATCATTTTTCCTTCATTTTGAAACAACCTTTAAATTACCTTAGAATTAGACAAAATTACTTTTCCTTTAACAACACTCACATCCTTGGCTCTTTTGTAATAACCTTCTTCACCAAAAACATACCCTACGTTCTTTATATACTCTGTATACAGAATTGTTTGTCTTATATCTAGTAGTTTTAACTACACATATTAACTACAATTTAAACTTTTAGTAACCCTAACTTCCAGTGAAAAACCTAGTAAGTAATTTTGAATTATTTTATATTAGTGTTTGTTAATGAAAATCATTTCATAATTTTTTAGAAAAATGTGTTTCCTCATTTTTAGCAGATCTAAATATATTTAGCTTTTCTGTACCATATAAAAATAAGATACCAAAGTATATAAACCTAAAGTTATATTTAATAATGTTTCAGTATTTTAACTTACTTAGAAATGACTCAGACATTTAATGTGTCTGTATTGTTTTATTTAACATGAGAGTAAGATTTTAAATTACTGAAAATAATTTAAAAACAATATCATAGGTACCTTCCCTAATGTCTTCCCCAGTCATTCTGGGTCTTGAGTATCCATGTGGCACTCAGGATGGCTATGAAGGGCAGGTCCCATCTGGGTCTTGAATTTATACACCGGATGTACAACTAAGGACAGAGGATAGGGCTGTGAAGAGGAATCCTGGAGGATGCAACCCCTCGCAGCATGGCCAGGAGGTAAATCTGGGCCAGGGAGGATAGGGCCATACTGGGCTTAGCTCTGTCTTGCAACTGGTGGTCCAAGTGCTGAGGACGTGTCCTCAGGCCTCACCATGGCCACTTGTCCAGACCCCAGAATCCAGAGGCTCAAAATCAAAGACATAAGCTCACATTAAAATGTGTGTAAGCCTTCAGGGGGGCCCAGCAGCCAGCCTTTACAGCTTTAGCTTACAGAAAAAATAAACAAGTATCAAAAATATTATAGAAGCAGCAGTTTTACAATCTTAAAATACATAATTGAGACAGCATAAACCTTCCTAACCAATAGACCCAAGCAAAAGTGTCTGAATTATATTTAATACTGACAATTCTGAAGATATTTCTATTTTATTTTACCAACAATTTTAAAAGTGGTTTTATTAACTAAATATTAGCTCACACAGAAATATCACATACACGTAACACATATACATACAGACACACATACAGAAACAAATCTTACAGGTTTCATTAAGATTTTTTTTTTGCTAGCTTCCAAATAGTTTTTCTTTTCCCCATTCAGACTATCAGTCTTCCAATTACATGTTTTATTGCCCTAAGCAACTGATAGCTAGGCAAACCTAAATTTGTGCTTCTAATGGATGATTCTTATGTGAAACAAGGTAGAAAATTTATATCTCAAGGACATGGAGTTGAGACTTCAAACCTAAATATTATACCATCATTTGCCCAAACCAGTGAAGAGTGTAGGTAAAGGCCCAGTTAAGACAAGATGGCCAGGTAAAGAACCCTACACTTAAGACATATTGTGTCAGTCTAAACCAATGGTAAGGTTTTCTAGTGACTTAGTCTTCCCTCTCTTCCTGGTGCACAGAGGAAGATTCCCTTACAAATAGAGCTTTCCTTTATAGATGCAAATTTATTTTATAAAAGACTTTTAAAAATAGACAACTAAATGCCAGAAGAGTGGATTTTGGACACTGATTTAGTTCAATAGGTGGTTTTTTAACTTATATTCTGTTTTTTTTTAGCTAAAATTACTGACTTCAGGGTATAGCCCATTAAAGAATAGGGAAAAGAAAGCATTCTGTATGTATGGGCTCAGCATGGATAGCTCTACAAAAGAAACAAGCCTACATTATCCCAGGGCCTATCACTTTTGGGGCAGGATAGTCACTAAGTCAAAAGGTTAGCAGATTTAGTTGTTCTTATTAATTAGCCACTTATTTGCCTTTTTTGAAAAATCTTTTAGAAGAGACAATAAAAATATTTAAATCTTTCTAGAAGCTTCTGCATATCAATAGGCATCCCTAGATGAGCCTAATTTAGGAGACTTCATTTTAAAATTCACTTCTTAAAGCACAATGTTGTTCATTTGGAACATTCCACTGTAATTCTAAATTATCTTTCATAAGATTTCACCATTTTGGTGTTTGCTATTTGGGGGCATAGCTGGAAGGTGGAATACTCAGTTCTTAGAAAATGAGATTCCATTTTTACCTTGAATCTTTGCTTTGGTTCTCAGATCTCCTTGATCAACTTAGCTATTGATTTTTCCCTACCTGAGCACACAAGAAAACAAAACAAGTGGGGTAGAACACAAAAATGCTTGTGAATTTTCAAAAGCCAGAGTTCACATGCCCTGCAGTATTGCCATTTACTGCCACATTATTTCTAACATAGTCAGACATCAGAGGCTTCTAACTAGATCAAATCCAGTTAATTATTGGATTCAATCCAATCCTGGACCCAGTCCAGTTTCCATTGTGACTTCTGAATCCAGTTCAGATAAGAAATTGGCTCAAATAAACTTAGATAGCTCAAAACACAAATTCGTGGAGCTTTGGAACCTGAGAGAGAACTTACCCATGAGTTGCTGGAAGCTCTACATTTCAAATCTCACTTCTGATGCCATCTGTTAAAAGAAAAACTTAAGACAAATTGAATTAAACAGAGTTTGAGTAAAGAATGGCTTGTGAATCGGGCAGCATCCAGCACCAGAATGGTTCAGAGTGACTTTGCTTAGCCTCCTTTTTAAACAGGACTGTAGATAGGAAGACATATTACTTATATGATGATATAGTCTGTTTTTTTTAAATTAACCTAATCCCATATCTCAGTCCTTTTTTCTGTTAAATTGTCTTCAAACTTTTTGTGAACAGCATAATACTCCAAATTTTGAGGGATCTGACAATTTATTTTCATTTCTCTCAACAGACACTTACTCTGTTTTGTTCTATTATTGGTTCTTTGGAGTTTTATTAGATTGATGCAAAAGTAATTGCAATTTTTGCCATTCAAAGTAATGGCCAAAACCACAATTACTTTTGTGCCAACCTATGCTGTTAAAAATGATGCTGAAAATTTATACATAAAGCTTTTCTATGCTTTCCTTAGGATATTTTTAACAAATGGAGTCATTTAAGCAAAGATCACATGAATTTGATATGATTTGAACAATCATTGGTATGAAACATTGCAAAAAAACTAGGCACTAACAATAATCAGATGGTTAGTTTTATAATTTATGTAAAAGAGATGAATTTTATAATTTTTGCACTCAAAAATATTTGTTATATGCCAAACACCATTATTATGTTCATGAATACAAATAAGAATTAAATGTGGAATTGACTCCCAGGAGCTCTCAGAAATGGAATTTCTGCTTCATATGAGTCAAGTTACTAGTCTAGTTACTTAAACTTATGGTTATTTATTATAATAAATTTAAAAATTAAAACTATATTATAATTGTTTAATAAATAAAATGAAGTATTTAAAAAAGAATAGGAAGAATAACAATGGAACAGAATTCAGAAGCCCTTTCATGATAAATGAGAAATTATTATTTGTTAGAAGTAGCATTTCAATTCAATGAAGGAAAGATACATTATTGAATAAATACTGTTGGGCTAATTATCTATTCATTTTGGGAAATAAAATAAAACTAGGTACTTACATATACCATAAAAAATGGACTCTAGGTGGAATACATTTCTAGATATAAAAACATAGAAGTACAAAAAAAATACAACAGGATATGCGTGGGGTGGGAAATTTCCTACGCAAGATTCAAAATTCCAGATACATAAAGGTAAAGATTGCCAGATTTGACTTCATAATTTTTTAAACTTCTGTAAAATGAATGTGAACTTAAGATGACTGACAAGACTGGAAGAAAATATGTATAACACATAAAGCAGTTGAAAATTATTACTATTTCTGTAATGTTCAGATTTCAGCTGCAGACAACAAAATCCACACAAGTTGGTTTTGGCTGAGAAGAACGTAATACAGGGAACAGTGTGTACAAAATCAGTGTGAGAATTAGAGAGCAGAAATTTCCAGCCTCAAAACCACTCTGCCCCACGTGTGATCTGGAAAGTGCTCTACTGCTGCTCTGGCAGCTAAAAAATGCAGAGGACTCTGCCACTGCTGCAGAAACCCATGCTACATTTGTCTAAATCAGGGGAGTTGCATTTCTTCATAAAGGAAGAAGGTGCATCAAGAATCTGTGTACAGATTAGGAAGTTGAAACTATAGCCTCTACTCCCAAAACCATACCACTTCCACTGCTACTATTCTCTGTGAAATAGGTGCTCCAAACCCTGCCTCTCTACTTTCTTCTGAATGATGTACTCTGTACATGCGTTTGATTGGTGGCTCCTAGATTATGTTCAGAACTCAAGTTTCAGAGGAATTTGGAAAATGTTTTTTTTTCCTTACTTTTCTAACTCTGTATGTTGGAAGTACTTTGGAATGAAATTCAAGTGAGTAGGCCGGGCATGGTGGCTCACACCTGTAATCCCAGCACTTTGGGAGGCCAAGGAGGGTGGATTGCTTGAGGCCAGGAGTTCAAGACCAGCCTGGCCAACAAGGTGAATCCCCATCTCTACTAAAAATACAAGGCACGTGCCTGTGTTCCCAGCTACTCAGGAGGCTGAGACAGGAGAATTGCTTGTTTAACCCGGGAGGCAGAAGTTGGCGGTGAGCCAAGATCACACCACTGTACTCCAGCCTGGGCAACAGAGCAAGACTCTGTCTCATAAAAAATAAAAAATAAAAAGTTAAGTGAGTCAACTCACAGTATCCTGCACAATTTTAATATGCAAAGAGTTTTTATGAACCAGTAATTATGAACCAATTATCAAATAATAATTCATAGAAAAAGAAATTAAAAAGTATATACTATGAAAGAATATTCAGGCTGTGTGTGGTGACTCATGTCTGTAATATTAGAACTTTGGGAGGTTGAGGCAGAAGGATGCTTAAGTCCAGAAATTTGAGACCAACCTGGGCAGCATAGTGAGACCCTGTCTCTACAAAAAAATTTGAAAAACTAGCCAGGCATGGTGGTGTGTGCCTGTTGTCCCAGCTACTCTGGAAGTAGCAGGACCGCTTGAGTCCAGGAGTTGGAGGCCACAGTGGGCTTATGGCGCCACTTCACTCTGGCCTGAGCAACAGAGCGGGACTCTGTCTGTATTAAAAGAAAAAAGAAGAAGAAAAAAGAATATCATCTTTACTAGCAATCAGGCAATAACTGCATAGTTTTTAGAAGAAAATCAGATTGGCTAGAATAAAAAAAAATTAATTTCAAAATTGGCAGAAAGCAGAAAGTGTAAGCTTATACAGATTTTTTTCTCTTTTTGTGGAGGGCAACTTGTTATTGTGAATCAATACTTAAAATTATTTGACCCAACAGTTCTTTATCTAGTAACCTGTACATCAAAAATAACTAACTTGCACAAAGAGATCCCAACAAAGAATGCATTATGTCATGGTTTGACCTAAAAAATTAGAAATAATCTAAACATCCATCAGAAAGTCAATATTCAAATCGTGCAGTCATATTATAGAATTTTATACACATTTTTAGAGAAGTATATTTTTAAGAACTGGCATGGAAAATGCTTATGAACATTAGTAAATGTAAAGATAAGTTGCACACTATAGATAAAGAGATCCCAGTTTTGGAAAATAAAAAATATGTATAAGTAACATATCCATCTCCATTTTCTCTACGACAACCTCAGTAATATCTACATTGCTTATTTATGTGTGTGTGAGTGTGTGTGTGTGTAAGAAAGATTCTGGGGGAATATACAACATACTGTTAACAATGATTACTTCAGGATAATGGAATTGGAAGGGAGAGATTTTGATTTTTCACCACCTATATTTTTATAGTGTCTGAATATTTTACAATAAGTTACAACACTCTTGTAACTTAAAAAATGTCTGATGTACCAAGGAAAATGCTGTCAACAGCTATTCAAACTGTTATAATGTCCCTTAAAATCCTCATTCCAAATGCTGTCAACAATAATTGCCAGGTTTATCATCACAGAATATCCTTGGGGCTTACAAACTTGCCTAGGAAATTTTTTGAGATTGTGTCTGTCTAATAGTTGTCAAAACTTCAAGTTAAATTAATTAACCTTGATACCATTCCTGAGGCTTGCCCACACAATCTTTGCCCATTCTAGCACTTTGCTTCCAGTTGGCTATAGACGTTATGTGCTAATGAAGGCTGCTGCTAAATTCCAATCTAATAAAAGCTGCTCAAGATCTTACCAAAATAAACAAAAACATGAGTTCCCAATGGAGTTATGTTGGTTACTCTTTGGCCTAAAACAACAACAACAACAAAGAAAACCATGAACTGCAAGTGTGCTAGACATTTAGAATTAATAATAAAAATAGCTTATGAGTGTGTACTTATTATTGCTTTATATAAACTGCCTGATTTCTTTGCAGTAATGTGAATAAAAGTCATATAATATGACTCTAGGGCCATTTGTGCCTTTAAGTTACCAAACCTCGACATCAGTGGAAATGACATGGCCTATTATATTATGGACAAATGTCCTGCTTTCATCAAAGCCCATGGGGTCAAACCAAAACTGAGAATTTATTTTCAAAGAACAATATCCCAGTTTTGTTTTGCACAAAACTTCTTTACTCTGAAGCTGATTAGAAGAGCTGTCCAAACCATTTAGAATTTAAGATCTACTGGGATAATTCCAAGCCCATACGGATAAGCCTAGGAGAAAAAGCCCTCAATAAATTAATTTCTGAATTAAGTGGAAACTCAAAAATATGCCACTTAGAGAAAGACAATTATCACCACAAATGAGGGAGAGTTTAAAATTAAAATGTCGTATTCTTCTCAAATAGAAATTCATTCTATGTCCTGAAATTCTTCAATATAAATAAACATATTCTTTAGAAATAAATGTTCACTGAAATTCTTATTTTTCCTCCTTTGCAAACAACAGTCATCTCAAGCAAAGAAAACTTGCTCTGTCTTGTTTTCATGCCTTCATTTCTTAACTCCGTTGCCCTTATTTTATCTTTTTGGTATTTTGAGGGAAATCTCAAGGTAAAAACAAGTTGTAAAGTTGTAATTCCCGAAGTCTCAAGTTTTGCCTCTTGAAATCCTGATTTAGAAGCAAGTTTCCCACGCAATCGTGCAAATTGAAGTAATTACCTGGGAGTACTCAGTATCTTGGAGACCATTCTAGAGGATTGTTTCAGGCAGAAGAGGCTGAGCAAGGAAGAATGCTGTTTGTGATGCATTTGTTTCCATCAGGAGTAATAACCACCCCAATCACATATGTACCATTCCAGCCTCATTGGTTTCCTCCCTTTTGCCGGAATAAGGTATTTAATTTCTGCTCACTTTCTCCCCTTCTCTCCTTTTCCCCATTAACCTAATTCCCACTCTTCATTTAGAGCCCATCTAAATCTGACCAATACTTTTAAGTTTTCTCAAGCTTTTCTGGTCTGGAAATCCCTTCTTGCCTTATCAATTAAAATCTGCAGGCTTCAAGAGGTGCTTAGCTCAATTATGCCCATATCATCAATGATTTTGTAACAACTGTATTTTCTCTCCAAAAGTATATTGAAAACCCTTAACCCCATTAGGTTAAGGTCCTAATGCTACACATTTTTCTAGTTTTAAAAATTAAGGTATAATTCTTCCCTTTTTGTATATTAATTCCACAAGTTCTAACAAATGACATATTCCATTGTATGTGTGTACCATAGTTTTTTTTATTGACTCCCAAGCTGAAGGACTTTTGAGTTATTTACAACTTGGATGACTATGAATATAATAACTTAAAAACATGTACGTAAAGAGTTTTGTGTGAATACACGTTTTCATTTCATTGCGGTAAATACATAGGAGTAGGATTGTCAAGTCCTGTAGCACACATATAACTTCTACTGTATTTCCTAATGTACCTGCAAACTGTTTCACGTAACTGAGACAGTTGGGCTTCCTTCCTTTAGTGATCTGAGTAAAATGGTTCAGACCACTACCAGCATATAACCTCAGGAAGTTTAAAGTTATCCCCTAGGCCGGGCGCGGTGGCTCACGCCTGTAATCCCAGCACTTTGGGAAGCCGAGGCGGGCGGATCACGAGGTCAGGAGATCGAGACCATCCCAGCTAAAACGGTGAAACCCCGTCTCTACTAAAAATACAAAAAATTAGCCGGGCGTAGTGGCGCGCGCCTGTAGTCCCAGCTACTTGGGAGGCTGAGGCAGGAGAATGGCGTGAACCCGGGAGGCGGAGCTTGCAGTGAGCCGAGATCCCGCCACTGCACTCCAGCCTGGGCGACAGAGCGAGACTCCGTCTCAAAAAAAAAAAAAAAAAAAAAAAAAAAAGTTATCCCCTAATGCAAACTTGCATTCAGCAATTTTCATTTTAAAGGGCATCATTGCATCTGATTACCAGGACCTTTCATGATGTCTTCCCCCACCACCTCACAACTTCACCAATAATAACCTGGATACGAAATTTGCAAGACCTTCCAATTACTCATACAGTGTCCAGTCACACAGGAAACATGAGTAAGCATCATAAATTTTACTGAAAGTTTATCAGGGCATAAGTTGTGTAGGTTGAGTGTTACATTTTACACCCCTCAAAAAACAACTAAAAAATTACGTCTTAAACATCCCTGTTCTTTCAAGGAATCCCAACTTGGACACTCACCATTCCGGATTCTTTCTGTTCATCCCCTTTTAGGAGCTACTCTTGTCAACTTCTCTCCAACTCTGAAGTTACTTTATTTCCTCTATATGTAGGGCAACTCAGCTCTCTCTGTTATTCCCAATGGTTCTTATGTACATTCGTATAAAGTCCTCAGCAAAACAAATGCAAAACAGGAAAGTTAAGGTTATTTTCCCTAATTAGAGTGCATCATGACAGTTTCTTATTAAGTTCTAGTTCTTTGAAAGTCGAATATTCATTTATGGTACAAGTTGATAACTATCAGTTAGCTAGTACTGTGTAATAAACCATTCTCAAATTTAATGGCTCAAAGAAACAAACATTTCTTTTTGCTCATGGGGTTTCTTAAGGTCAGTTGGGAAGTTCTGGTCTCAGCTGGTTTCATTCATGTCTCTACAGTCAACAGTTGTTGGTTAGGTAGCTCTGTTGATGGAGGCTGGGCTTCCTCAATACTTGGCTGTAAGATGTTTTAACAGGGCCTTGGATAAGACTACTGAGCTCTCAACTATGTTGTCTCCCATTTTCCAACCAAATAGTCCCTTATTTACAACGCAATGGTGGGAGTCCAAAAGAAAGTGTGGAAGTGTGCATGCACCCCTCAGAACTAGCATACCATCGCTTCCAAACCATTACATTAGCTAAGCAACTCACAAGACCAGCCCAGATTCCAGAGTAAGGAAATAGACTCCACTTGTCAATGGGGGTTGCTACAGAGTCACATTATGTAGAGGATGCATATATGAAAGATAAAGAGTTAGAGACATTTAAAAAAACAATCTACCACACATACATAAGTAGAATATTCTATTATTTAGAAGATCTAATTTCCCTATAATTCTAAATAAGTAAAAGTTTCATTTTATTTAGCTCATGAACACAAATCTAATTAAACTTCACACTTTATTTAAAAATGTATTTTCCCGGCTGGGCACGGTGGCTCACGCCTGTAATCCCAGAACTTTGGGAGGCCGAGGCGGGCAGATCACTAGGTCAGGAGGTCGAGACCATCCTGGCTAACACGGTGAAACCCCGTCTCTACTAAAAACACAAAAAATTAGCCAGGCGTGGTGGTGGGCTCCTGTAGTCCCAGCTACTCAGAAGGCTGAGGCAGGAGAATGATGCGAACCCGGGAGGCGGAGCTTGCAGTGAGCCGAGATCGATCCACTGCACTCCAGCCTGGGCAACAGAGCAAGACTCCGTCTCAAAAAAAAAAAAAAAAAAAATGTATTTTCCCCAATGAAAAGTTAAAATCACATGACTGGTTTCGTTTTAATTTAATCAACTACCCATAACCTACAACTTAGACAGTACCTCTGTGGTTTTCTGTTGGTTATTTTAGTCAGTACCATTGAATTTATTTAAATAAAGAATATTTAAAGGATTGTGTAGAAAAAGTTTTTAAAGATATCGTTAAATAAAAAGGAAGCTGAGTTACAACTTAGAACTTCCCTAATATGTTTTCCTTTTGGGAAGGAAAGTGTTTTTATGAAGTTATACACGCATATAGTTAAAAGATTACAATAGTTCTTCAAATATTTGTTATGAAAAACATGAGTCCCCTACATCCCTGCAGCCACCCCCAATGCCTTCTTTCAACAGACAAGCATTCCCAACCTTTTACAACTATTCTTTTGGTTTAGACATCCTTATGGCTTGTAATTGCACATTTATACTTATCCCTTTGTATTTTCAGTCTTGGGCATTACCTACTGTCTTCCTGATACGAAAAATAGTGACTCCTACATGATCTCTCTCTCTCGCATCTTCCAGCTCCCCCGTGTCCTCCCCACCCTGAAATATACCTTTTGCCTCTCCTCATCCTCTTAGGATAGTTACATTCCAACTTGGGTTAGAATAATATGCAATTATTACAATGATTAATAATGCTATCTACAACTGATCCACATGATATACTGTATTTTTTTCATTTCTTGCAAACTTTTTATCTGCAATTAATTGTCCATCTAGTTTATTTTCTTAATTCCCCATGTATTTATTTTTTAATAATTCAACCCCAAATGCTCTGCCAGTTACTTATCTCACTGACTGCTCCTCTTTAAATGTTCAGATATATCATTATCCAATAATTTTATTTTCTCAAATACATTTCTCCCAAACCTTTCTGGCAAGCTTTCATCAGAAGAGTTGCCGTGAGTCTGGTGAATCAATGTCCTTCTGATAATTGTCTTTCTCTCTTCCCTATATTGGATTCTCTATTTCTTAAGCCCTGTCTTATTCTTTTGTGGTTTGTTTATTCATTTTGGTGTGCACATCCTCTGGTAGCTTCCAAAGAAAGATTTTGGAGGCCTTGTATTGTCTGGAAATATTCTAAACTTACATTAAGTTACATGTTGTGAAGGTATAAAATTCTAGGTCAAAAAGACATTTCCTTTGGAATTGTAAACCATGTTTCCATTGTCTATAGCTTCCAGTGATATCTATAGCTTCTAGTTCTGGTCATGAGGGGTCTAAGACCATTCTCAATTTTTATTCTTTAATTACAACTTTAAAAAATATCTTTGAAGCTTGCAGTAACTCCTCTTCATCCTATGTCTTTGATATTTCCCCATTGTCTTGGCATAGGAATATTTTCAATTATTGCTGAAAATAAATGAAAAATTATTCATTTTCCTAGGATTTTTCAATCAGGAAACTTATCCACCTCCATTTTGGGAAATTTCTCAAATCATTGTTTCTTCCTATACCTGATATTTCCCTAATACCTGATATTTCTTTGCAATATTCTCTCTTTTCTTTCTTTCTTTCTTTCTTTTTTCTTTTCTTTCTTTCTCTCTCTCTTTCTTTCTTTCCTTCTTTCCCTCACTTCCTTCCTTCCCTCCCTTCCTTCCTTCCCTTTCCTTCCCTTTCTTTCCTTCCTTTCTCTCTCTCTCTTTCTTTTTTTCTTTCTTCTCTTTCTCTCTTTCTTTTCTTTTCTTTTTGCTTTCAGATCTTGTGGGAGTATTTCTTTTTTTTCCTCTCCTATTTCCATTTCTATCTTTACATTCTTTCATTTGTGGAAACATTTTCAACTTTATTTTCTGATACTTCCATGGAGTTTTTAAGTTTGTTCTCACATTTTAATTTCTAACATTTAAAAAAAATGATTTGAAGTTTTCTTTTAATATCTTCTTCTATTGTTCATAAATACAATATTTTCTTTTATGATTTGAGCATATTAATGTAGGTGTTTTAAAATTTCTTCTCATTGCATAATATGTTTTCTCCAAATAGATTTTTTTTTTTGGTCTATTTATTTTGGTCTTAATCTTTTATGATAAAGAATTTCCTAAGTGTCTAGTGATCCTCAACAATCTGCTTATGTTTAAACCTAGGGCCCTGAAAGCTCATTAGATGCTCTGAACCAGTGGATGGGCTTTGTTAACTCTGGGCTTTACCATGGAGGTGTCTAAGGGAGGTTTCTGAGATAATCTTTAAAGTCAGAGTTCTTAGCTCTTTCTCCTTGGGCTGCTCAAATTCCCCAGAGAAAAACTTTTAATTTTGTACCTGGATGATATAGGCCTTGCTGCCAGCACTCTGGGAAATAAATGGGAAAAGAAGGCTGGAGATCTCAGAGTTAAGTATGCAAATACAGGACCACCACTAAGCTGGAAGGATAACCAAACATCATGGTTTGCCCTGGACTGAGGAGTCTGCTGGGATGTGAGACTTTTAGTGCTAAAACCAGTATGGTTCCAGGCAAACCAAGACAGTCACTTTAGCCTGGACAACATTCTTAAAAGGACCTTTCTCTGGCCCTTCTTTGTTGATACCTTTTCCCATAGCCAAGGGCACCATCCCCCGTTTGTAGACTGTGTTTCAGAATTCTGCCAAGTGGCCTCAAGCTTGCTTCCAGGGACTATGTGGGCCTGTTCCCTCAGTCTGTCCCTCTGAGGATGAACAATTTTACCAACCAGTGTATGCACCCCTGAAACCAAGAGATATACAAGAGTGTCCATTTGCAGGAGTCTGATAGAGCTTGCACAGGAGGGCTGGGTGTCCACAGGTGCTCATTCAAGGCCCTGACAGTCAAGAAAGAAATCAGGGTGTGAAGGCAAGGAAGGGAGGCCAGGGCCACAGCTCCCATGAATACTCTTGCTTTGGGCTCTGAAAACGTCAGATGCAGGCCTGGACCTTCCTGTTTTCACTGTACCTCCAACCCTCCAGCCCAGAGACTTTTCAGTTACCCTCTCCCACTACTAAACTTCCGGTATTTTACCAGAATGAAGAAAGATGATTGCCTGGCCACAAAGAATGGACTGTAGGATCTTGCAATTGAACTCAAGAGACTTCCAATCAATCCCCTGTTATGGCGCCACCTTCTTCCCCACTTCCAGGGATACCCAGTACTGCCAACTTCTGAGCCTGCTGGAGGTCAGTGGCTGCTAATTGGACTGCTTCTCCTCAGTCCCCACTTGAGGCTTATCACTTGACCTTCTTTGGTTTGCTAAGTCAGGTTCTTCTGATTCACCCATTTTCTAGCTTCCAATATTTTATGTTGTAGCTGCCTCTCCTGTCCCTTGTACTAGTAGGTCTTACTCCTTTTTTTTTTTAAATTGGTTTACTCATCATTCTCAGCAAACTAACACAAGAACAGAAAACCAAACACCACATGTTCTCACTCATAAGTGGGAATTGAACAATCAGAACACATGGACACAGGGAGGGGAACATCACACATGGGGACCTGTCGGGGGTTGGGGGCTAGGGGAGGAAGCACATTAGGAGAAATACCTAATGTAGGTGATGGGTTGATGGGTGCAGCAAACCACCATGGCACATGTATAACTACGTAACAAACCTCCACGTTCTGCACATGTACCCCAGAACTTAAAGTATAATAAAAAACAATTGGTTTACTGTTACATGAATAAGGTTTACAGAGGGACAGAAAATGATTGTTTTCAATCACATATCTCTATTAGGAAGTTGAAATGTCAAAATATTTCCAGCAAAAGAGTAAATAGGAGGAAAAATAAATAAATTTGGGCAAAGATATGGGTGAGAAAATGGGAAACAGTGAATCCTTGTTTGACCCACTAACGAAACAATATCCCAAAATTACATGAGATAACATCTACCAGTTTGTTTGTCACCAAATTCATTATATCAAGCAAACATGCATCTGCTCTGGAATGGGCGGAGAAAGCAAAGGGAATTGAATTTCTTCCCAAGATATTATTTCCAGCCTCTCCTAGTGATAAGCTGTGGTGATTGTGCTACTTTACATATGGTTGGAGGATAAGAGCAACTACAAGCTCTTAAATAACACATACATCTAAAACAATTTTTTTAATTAAGTGTTTGAGTATGGCATTGAAAAAATGGACCATAGCCTTACTTTAGCCTAAGTTCCTGGGTAGTGAAGACAGTTGGCAGCATATTCAGGGCTAGAATCCTCATGAGTGTGGTGGGACAGGGGATCATCCATGCACCCCCTACAGCCATCACCTTGCAACATAAAGGCAGGCCCTGGCCAAAGGGAGTAGCAGGTATTGCCATCAAGGCCAAGCCAAGCCTGCATTGGCTCAGAGAAAAGGAACTGACTTGACAATATGCCTAGTGTGGATTCATGTAATGCATTATTTCACTGAAAACTTCTAGATCTCATCTTACATGCAAAGAATGAAATGCCCAAAGGGGTTAAGTAATTTACTCATGGCGCACGGTAGCTACTCAGTGGTGGAACTCGGTATCCCATCCAATTCTGTCTAGTTCTTTGAAACTTTCCATATAAAAATCATCATGAATCTGGACAGGGGCAGGGGCTTTTACTATGGTTTTCCAGGTAGCAAGATGAGGGGTCTTTGGACATGGCTTTTCTCTATCTAGGTACAGTGCACTGGGCCTGCCTATGGCAACATGGTCTAGATAGCAGAGTGTGTCTCTGGCAGATGGGTTCTCTTTACTAGGCAGTGCACTCGGCTTCCCTCACATGCGGGGTCCAGCTGACTTCTGGATTTCAAATCTTCTCCCTATGGATAATCAGACAATCACTATCTTATAATTTTAGGGGCAATATACTCAAATTATTAAATGTACTGACATTTCCTTGTTCTTGGCGCTCTACATTTTGTGTTGTTGTTGTTGTAATTATAGAATGAGTGTGTCTGTTTCATATTAGGGTTCTCAACCAATTGAGATCAGATGTATGGTAAAAGTAAGGGATCTTTTCCTTCCTGGGTCTAGAATTTATTTATTTATTTTTGTCACTTTGAACTACTTTGAATCTATTCTTCTTCCACAAAGCTCACTGGGTTAGGCTTTTAAGGAAAAAGCTCATAGAAGTCATCTTAAGTACTGTAAGACTTCATGAAGTATTTGAAATAAAATGCCCATGGACATATGAACTGCCATCTCAGCCATTCATCCAGGCCTTATGAAGAGTACAAGAATTGAGAATGGCCTCAGGTCTTCTGTAACACAGCTCAGGGGCTACAAGGTCAGGCAAGGCTCCAGAAAAGAGGACAACTGTGCAGCCACAGACCTTGGCAACACAGGCTGGTGGGTGCACTGGCCCAGCCAGTAAAGGGCACAAAGCCTAATAGCATCTCCTCCCAGGCCCTTCGGTGCAGATAACAGCCTGATGCAGCTCCTCTCTGTCTCTGCTTCTTTCTGATGGTCTTTCTCATCTGCTTCCACTTCCAAATAATTTACTTCACTTTTAGTGGCATTTAAACAGAAAATTGTTTCTTTACTTACAATACTTCTGACACCAAATGTGTGTGTGTGTGTGTGTGTGTGTGTGTGTGTGTTTTCTCACCAACAACCAATTCTCCAACTCTCTGCAGACACCAACAGGGAGTACTACAATTTAATTCAATTCTGACATTAACTACCCAGAGTTAGTGTGGACCCCACAAATCAAGCACTCGGTCCCACAAGACTGCCCCCAACTTCAGGTGCCAATCACAAATAAAGGGTCCCCAGGTTGTCCTTGCTTCTGTCTGACATAGCTACTAACAGAGGATATTTATTGTAATGGCTAATAGAACTCAGGGAAATACTTGACTTACTGTTTTTTATAACGGTTATTATAAATGATACAAAAGAACAACCAGATGGGGAGGGGCACAGAGCGAGGTCAAGCACAGGAGTTTCTGTCCCGGTGAAGCTGGAGTCCACCATCCTCCCTCCCAGCATGGGGGTGCATCATCAACCTGGAAATCCTTTGAACACTTTTGTTTAGGGTTATAATGGAGGCCCCTTTACATAGACATGATTGAGTAAATCATTGGCACTATGGAGATTAACTCAGTCTCCAGCCCCTCTCCTTTCCTTGGAGGTCAGGAGTGAGGCTGAAATTTCCAACCCTCTAATCACATAGTTTGTTCCTGGGGTGATCGGCCCTCAACCTTTCAGAGTCACCTCATTAGAATGAAAGTTGCTTCTGTCTCCCAGAATTAAAAGGATTTTAGGAATTCTGTGTCAGGAACTGGGGACAGAGACTACATATATATCTCTTATTATGTCACAGTAATTATTTTATTTTTAATTTTATAAAGTAAAAATTATTAAATATGATTTTTAAAATAGTAAAAATGCCCATATAGTTATTATCCAGAATTAGCAACTGTTAATATTTGATTATATTTGCTTTCAGAAATAAATATAACGTTAGAAATGTGTTCCCTTTCAGTCAGAAATCCCCTGGGTTTTTTCTAACTCCTTCTGCAAAGGGAACAATGGTCAATGGTGGATTTCTTTCCACTCCATGTTTTATACCATAAACAATAAGTATAATAGAATATAAAATATATGTGTTTATTATTTACATAAATAGTATCAAAGTATATCTTGCCTCTTCTTACTTAAAGTTATATTTTGGAGGTCTAGCAATTTGATTTTCATATATTTATGCATGTATGTACATACACATAACAGTCATTTCTTTTGGTTTCTGTATAGTATTTCACCATATAGATAAGTTACATTTCATTTATTTCCTCATTAATGGACACTTAGATTGATTTAATCTTTCTGTAATGTACAGTTGTTGCAATAAACACTCTCCTAACATCTGCTTATGCATATATGCAATCATGTATCTACTGTGAATTCTCAGAAGTGGAATTGTTAAGTCAAATGCTAAGCGCATTTTCAATTTTATTCTGCCAAATTGCTCTCTAAAATGGGTGTCTCATTTGACATTCTCAGGGCAATGCTTAGAAGTTTCATTGTTTTCAATACTTTGCCAAGACTTGGTTTCAGCAGATTAAAAAAAAATTTCCCCATCAAATGGATGAATTTAGCATTTCTTTTTCTTTCTTTTTTTTTAATTCTTGCATTTTTCTGAAAACTAATCAGGTTGAGTTTCTTTTAGGTTGTTGATTGGCCACTTGAGTTTTATTTTCTGCTTTTTTCTTAAGTTTTAGGATGTTTGCTCATTTGCACATTCAACCAATATGTATAGGTTACTTACTGTGGCCAGGCCCTCTTCTGTGCATTATGAGTTCAGGTGGTGAACAAGACAGACAAACACCATGGCTCCCTTAGGGTTTGTATTCTGGAGAAACTGGGATAGGCAAGAAATAATCTAATAAAAGAACAAAGAAATTTCTTTGTTCATCCATGAACAAAGCATCCATGAGAATTTGAGACAATGAAGAAAATTAACACGTGATGTGACAGTAACAGAGAAGGGGCAGTGAATTCCAGTGGGTGATCCATCAGGGAGTGGCTTTCTGAGGAGGATACATTTAAGTGGAGATTTGAATAACAAGAAGGAGCCAGATACCTACAAACTGTGGGTGGAGATGCCAGCAGAGGAAGCAGCAAGTGCAAAGACCCTGAGAACACAAATGTGATGTGTTCTAAGGGTAGAATGAAGGCTTCGGTAGTTGCATCCCAGGAAGAAAAAGGCAGGGAGGTAAGGGGTTAAGAGCCCATACGATGCAGGGACTTTTATTTCATGCCAAGACGCTGATGTTAATCTAAGAGCAATGTAAGGCTTTGGAGGAAGCAGGGGTGCATGATGTAGTCTGATTTACTTTTTAGAAATGCCCCGCTAGCTGCTGGGTATAAAATGAATTGGAAGGAAGAATTAAAGAGAATAGTCAAGAGACCACTGAAACGTTCCAGGATAGAGATGACGGAGGCTTGGACAAAGTTGTTAGCAGAGGAGATGAGGAGAAATGGGCAGATTTAGGATATACCTTGGAGAAAGAGGTTACAGTACTTTGCGATAGATTGATTGGAGAATAGAAGTGGAGAGAACCGGAATAATCAAAAATAGTTCCTTTGAGTTTGAACAAGTGAGTGAGTGGTAGAACCATTTACCAAGATAGCCAAGACCAGAGGAAGTGTGAGTGGAAATAGAGATGAGTGCAAAACCTCTTGGATGTCTGAATGTCCTGGCACTAATATTAGTATCAGGGCTTAGCAACTGTGTAAGTCAAGATCCTGCTGGTAAATGGGACCTGAGGCCAGGCGCGGTGGCCCACGCCTGTAATCGCTGCACTTTGGGAGGCCGAGGCGGGTGGATCACTTGAGGTCAGGAGTTCGAGACCAGCCAGGCCAACATGGTTAAATCCCATCTCTACTGAAAATACAAAAATTAGCCAGGCATGGTTGCCTACGCCTGTAGTCCCACTTACTCGGGAGGCTGAGGCAGGAAAATTGCTTGAACCTGGGAGGCAGAGGTTGCAGTGAGCCGAGATTGTACCACTTCACTGCAGCCTGGGGAACAGACGAAGACTCCATCTCAAAAACAAAATAAAACAAAAAAAAAAGAGAATAGGACCCAGTGAAGATTGTTCAAGAGACTTCAATGAGGAGATTTCTTAGGAGGTATGGGTAGGGTTAAGGGAAACCACAGGATGGTTATGGTATCCCGGGACTTGCCATGGTAGGAGGCTATTACCACCACAGACCTGAAGGGGAAAGGGAAGGAAGCAGAGGTAATGGAGCTTAATAAGAGTAGGGATCTCAAGGCAACCACTGCTACAAAAACAGGAAAGGCAGAGAGGGAGTCAAGGGAATAAATGCCCTGACTTCCCTCTCTCCTCTCACCAACCTCTCTTGCTGCTGGCTCCCAAATCCAACCAGAGACCAGAGGGCAAGAGAGTCTAGACCAGGAAGTACATAGACACCATTACCGCTATCCCCTCCCAAGACCTAAAACAGGGCAGAAAAGGGCAAAAAATGGGTCTCGTTGGTGGGAGGAAGGTGAGCAAATAGAACATAACTGGCAAAGCAACCTATAGAATGTTTGCTGTGGCACATGGGCAAGTCACCCCAAGGTCCTTTTTCATGCTGGTTTTGAGGACACAACAGTTAGCAAAATAATCTTTTCTCTTCCCACTCATGTTGATGAGACTCAGTGGGACTTACTTATACTCTCACATTTCAGTAGACAGTAATAATGATTTCATTCAAAATGTGGAGTCTGTATGATCCCTCTTCATGCCTGACTTCCTGCCTGGATCCAGTATGATCAGATCTTTGACTGTCCTAAGCACTTTCCATGGCTCTGTACCATTTAATGAATAAAAACCTCTTTTTTTTTTTGCCTTGCATTCAAGGTCATCCTTCCTATTTTGGCTTTAGCCATCATTCCTCAATATTTCTCCTGCTCTCTCCCTGCAAAAATCCTAGATTGTGGTCTTGTACTTTCCAATTTTTTGCCTTTACTCTTGCCCATTTCTGCCTTTTTTTTTAATTTTAGGGACAAATGAAATGCCTGAAATACTCTGGTGAGCCTCCTATACTCAAGTTAACTGGAAACAAACCTGCCTTGCCACTGTTCTCTTCTGTGTGGCATAGAATCGGTCGCTCATAAATCAAAGTCATGAGGGTTGAGGAAAGGGTTAAAACTAACACACCTTGAGGGTTTTTGGCACACGTGTCATCTCATTTACTCCCAGCAACAATCCAATGGAATCAGGATAACTACCATGATGAGAAAACCTGGGCTTAGACAGACATGGTGTTTATTGCACATGAATTACATATCCAGTCACACTCGGGTGTTCTGATCTCTCACTTTTCCAATGAGGAACTGAAAGTCTGAGAAGTTAAATAATCTGCTCAAGATCTCTCAGCTAACAAGGGATAAAAAGACAGAGGCCGGATTCAAGCTCAGATCTGTGTCCTCAGGCACTACACCATCATCTTCCTTCGCAACAGAAGGGAAAAATAAAATTACTGGTTGCCCTCTACAGGCGAAGCATAGCGTTGAGGGTTTTCACGTAACATTGTCTCATTTAATCTTAACTGTAACCCTGGAAAGGAAAGAATGTCCAACAAGGAGGCAAAAGTGAGCACACAGACGGGATTCAAACTCTATCAAAGAGTGGCTGGTAGCTTCTGCTGAAGTCCTTTCTCCTCTCCAGCCTTCAATTAACTCCATCTGTTGATTACATCACTTTATGAAAGATGAAGTTGGAGGCTTATAAAGAAAAGTTTGTCCTGATAGGCACAGTAGTGGTAGCTCCTGGGAGAGAAAGAAAAGCCTGTATATTCTGGCTGGTAGAAAAACAAAAAATACAGACTTCTCCCTTGAAGCCACTGTCTTACCAGTTAATTCTCACTGGATCTTTATTTACCACGTAATCCTTTGTCACAGTTATGAAATTAAAATAGGAATTCATATGCTTTCTTTTCCTGATATCTACCTTAAAATACTTAGCCAAGTGTTTGTTGCAGGAAAACAAATATCTGGATTATCTCATCCCCTCACCTAATCTGATTCATGCAAAAGCACCATACACATATGCACATACACACACATGCACACACACACACGCACACCTGCACACACCTGCAGCGTCATACCCAGATCGGTGCTGACTTGCATCTTTATTCCCACTAATCTTTTAATTGCAATACCTAAATCTTCCTTCTACTCACGCTTTAACTCTACGGTGGCCAAGCAAATATTCTGAAATATACCTTTATTTTCTAAATAGATGATCAGATTATATAATCTTATAAACAACATTAAACTCCTCATCGCTGTTTCCTTGCTAGAGCTCCGCTAAAACAGGAGATAGGATATTATAATTGAATACAAGTTTGCAATAGATAATTAGTAAGTGGATTTCTAGCAGGAAACAGCACTCTATTCAGATGATTTAGTGAAAGACATCAAATGAAGAGCCTATTAACAGAGGCACAGGCAGCATTAAAGGAACCAAAAAGAGGAAAGATGAGGCATCCATGGCTATCATCCATAGATCTGAAAGGATGCAGGGCAGTGATGATGTTACCAGAGCCAAGTGAGAGCTGGAGCCATGGAAGATGAGCTGTCAGATGGATGCTATAATTATGCAAGGACTCAGCCATTTCTAGAACTGGAAAGTCAAAGCCGACAGGGAGTGGGGAAGAAATGACTCTGAGCTCTTTTCTTACCATGGGATCTCCAGCAGGGCCTCCCATTGGTCAAATTCAGAAGAAAGCCAAGGTGCAAGGGATGCAGGTATTGCCATTTAGAGTGATCAGCCTCCTGGGGCACAGAGCGGAGCAGAGAAGGCTGAGAATGGATATGGAAGGAGGACAAAAGAAAATGGCCAATGCATCTGCCTTCTTTATTCCCTACATATCTAGCATCAATAGTGGCCCCACGGTAGCAAAACCCTAGATTCCAGTGTCTTCATTCATTTATTCAACATGATTCGTTGGTTGCATTATTAAATTTTGGGAAACAAAAAAACAAGCTTTACTCATAAGGAACAGATCATTGAGATATGTGAGAAAGCATACCTGGTAAAATATATCTTGGAAGCATTTCTTTGACCCTCTTGTATTTTGCTAGAAGCCCTCTATCATGAAATTAATGTTTATAAATATGTCAGTAATATATTCTAGTAATCTGTATCTGAACTTTACTGTGGATCACACTTCAATCAATAAGGAAAACCTATATTTCTGGAATGTTTTAGAGAGTTCAATGTTAAACACATTGATCTTGAAATCCTTCCATTAGAAAAGAAGGTTGCAGATTCTTGAGGGCATTTTTTCAGGAGAGTAATAGTTCTTTGTTATCCTATATTCTTTAAGCCTTACCATTATCGGGCTAGAACACCAGAAACAAGCTCTCCCAGGCCACTTGAGCTTAGCTCTCCACAGAAAGCCTTCATTAGGCTATGGTTTAATACTTTGGGTTTAATTGAAGGTCAGTGTGAAAAATGGCCATGTGAGGCAATTTTCTGCTTATGTTACAAAATTACTTTTATAGATGACATTGATTATGTTCTATGATGCTCTTTATATAAGCAGCCATGTCAATTCCTCTTAGAAGAGTTTCTCTGGAAATATGATCTCTGCTTTTTTTCCCTACTTACCATAATTGCTAAAGCAATGATATTAAACTGAGTTTGTAGAACATTGTTACCATTAAAGCGATCTTCCATTTCAAAAAATATTTACCTATAAAGACCAATTTTGTATCTTTGAAAAAGTCACCACAAATTCTTTTTAAAAGTATGTAGAATATAAATTAAGAACTAGAGTTAAGAATATTACATATTATTAGTTAATTAAACCTAACAGCAATGGAATAATTAAATAACCATACAAGACCAAAAATGTAGGTATATGTATGTATTAAGATGTATACCTACACAAACATGTATGTATTTGTGCATTTGTATATATATATGTGTGTGATTATATGTATGTATACACACATACTGTACAGTATATCACAATGGGAAAAAGATGAAGTGAGTGATACAGATAATAGATAAAATAAGCCATAGGAGAAAAACCACAATGTGTCAGAGAAGGCAGCTATGGTTTCATTCATTAATTTATTAATTTCACAAACATTTATTAAACTGCTTCTATGGTCTAGATGATTCAAAGTGGTATTAGGCAATACTTCTGTCATCAAGGAGTTTTTGGTCTAGTGGGGCAGGATGGGGTGAGCAGGCATGTAAATTTATTATAGGAATGTGTGTCAAAGTCAAAATAAAATACAGAGACAAATCTCTAAATTGAATGTTTTATTTGGGAATCACAGAATTGCAATTTGGAGTATACACACAGACTGGGTCGTCTTCAGTAGGCCTGAAGATTGGGGCTTTTATTAGAAAGGGAAATGTTGTACACTGTTTTGAAGGAAAGCTCATTGGCACTAGGAAGCTTTTGGGAGCTGGCAAGTTCTGAATAGTAAGTGATGGTGGAAGGTGAAACTAGACTAGTTAGACTCAAGGCAGGTCATTTCAATAGCTATGAGATAAAACTGGTCTTAGGGCTACAGCAGGCTGTTTCAGCAGCTGGGCCTGTGGAAAATAAAACTTTTGGATCAGGTGCTATGTGTCCCATGTGCTTTTTATTCCTGGCCCCTCAACTCTGATTTAGCTGGGTATGACAAGAATGGCAAAATTTGTATAATCAACTTCCACATGTGTTATAAGAGGAACATTCTAGATGCTGCTGAGAGTCCAGAGCTGGTGGAATTTGGAAAGGCAGAACACCATGCCATATAAGAAGCACCATCAAACCATGGTGGAGACCAGGAGAATTAGGAGTAGATTTGAAGGACAGCCTGCATACCAGTCTATCTGGAATAAAGTGTTACTAGAAAGCCCTAAATAGGTATTTGACTCCAATAAGAACTCCATACACAGTGCTAATTTTATCTTTTTTCAAACTATTTTTTCTTTGTCATTTTCCTGTCAACTCTCATATGATTATTGCAAGATAATTCCTAGTACAAGCACTGTGGTAGATTACTTGCCAAAAGACGCCAATTTTTCACCCCTTCCTGTATCCACATTATGTGCGCATGCAGCCTGCAATGATCTGTGTCCCCACAAAACTAATATGTTGAAATTCTAACCCCTAAGGTGGTGGTATTAGGAGGGGAGGCCTTTGAGGGTAACTAGGGTATGAGGGCAGAGTCCTCAGGGATGGGATTAGTGGCCTTCTAAAAATGGGCCTAGAGATCTCAGTCACCCTGCAACCACCTGAGGGGTTCTTCCTGTCCACTGCATAAAGAAAGACCAGGCATTGTCATACAGAAAGAGTTTAATAGACATGAGGCTGGCAACACCACATGGGAGATGGAGTACGTATTCAAATCATCTTGTTCAAAGCTCGTAGGTTAGGGGTTTTTCAAAGGCATTTTGGTGGAAGGGGTGGAGGTGGCCAGGTAACAGGTGCTGCTGATTGGCTGGGAAGGAGATGAAATCACAGGAGGTTGAAACTGTCCTCCTGATGGCTGAATGGCTACCAGGTAGGGCCATAGGAGCTGGGTTGGCAGTCCAGGTGGAGCCACAGATGTCAGACATGCAAAAAAAGTGGAAAGATATCTCAAAAGGCCAATCTATAACAGCGGTGATATTCACAGGAGTAGTTGCAGAAGATGCATATCTTATAACATCAGCAAAATGGCTGACAATTGTTTATGTCTGCACCTTAGCAGGACTCAGGCTCCACTCCTTCCTCCAGCTTGATGACTTCCTATTAGCTTTATAAAAGCAAGGTCTATTATCATTTACACTACAGCCTAAGTGCCTTCCAAATTTAGCTTGGCCCAATAGCCCAGAAATAATTAAGGGAAGGCAAGACTGGGGTTGGGTTATCTCAGCTTACAGTTATAATTTTCTCACTGATATAACTTTTGCAAAGATGGTTTCAACCCCTTTTATCATAGGAGGACACAGTGAGAAGACAACCTCTATGAACCAGAAGGTGAACCTTCAGCTGACACTGAATCTGTTGATACCTTGATCTCGGACTTCTCAGTCTCTAGACCTGTGAGAAATAAATTTCTGTTGTTTATAAGCCACCTAGACTATGGTATTTTGCTGTAACACCCACACAGACTAAGATGCAGCACCTCCCATCAGGAAGAGGTGGAGTCTATTTCTCTACCCTTTGAATTTGGTCCCGGCCATGTGACTAGTTTGAACCAACATAGTATAAGGAAGGGATGGTGTGCCAGGTCTGAGCCCAGGCCTCCAGAGAACTTGCATATTTTTTCTCTCTTTTGAAACCCTGCCTTTGCCATGAGAACAAGTCTAGGCTAGCTTGCTGGAAGATGAGAGGCCATGAGAAGCAGCAATAAAGTCATCCCAGCCAAGATCCTGGATATGTCAAAGAGCACAGCAACAATCAATAAAGCTACCTGTCCAACCAGCAGCTGACCAAAATGAGGGAGTGAGACCCACCAGACCTAGCTCAGATCGGCAGAACCACACAGTTGACCTGAAAACTCCAGAGAAAGAATAAATGGTTGATGTTTTGTGTTGCTAAACATAAAGGTGTTCTATTATGCAGCAATAGCTAACTGAAGGATTTAGGAAAAATAATCAAGTTATTATGGGAACACAATGGAAAGTGAGAATAAAATGGTCTGTCATAAAGTCAAAAAGCCCTCTATTCCCAGTTCTATTGTTAACTGACCGATGCCCTTCAGCAATTTACGTAAGCTTTTGGATTTTGGTTTTCATAACTGTGGTTTAGATAAGATAGGGGTATTTTTGATTAAGGATGGAAAGGTAAAAACATTTTTATTTCAATTCCCTCTTGAAACATAACAAAAAAGAGTAATAAACAGAGGGGGAAAATCTTCAAAAGAGAAGAGTATGCAAGAGAGCTAAAAACATGTCCATGCAAAAATATGTACACAAATGTTCATGGTGACATCACTATTTATAATAGCCAAAAAGTGGAAACAACTCAAATGTCCATCAAAAAATGAATAGATGAATAAAATGTGACATATTCACACAATGGAGGAGTATTTGGTAATAAAAATGAAGTACTGATATATGCTACAATGTGGATGATCCTTGAAAACATTCTGCTAAGTGAAAAAAGCCAGACACACACAAACACACACACACACGCACATGCACACAAACATATATTGTATGATTCCAGTTAAACAAAATGTCCAGAATAAGCAAACACACAGAGACAGTAAATTAATGGTTGCCAGGGACGAGGGGGAGGAGGAAATGGAAAGTAATTGCCAAAAGGTATAAAGTTTCTTTTTGGGGTGATAAAAATGTTCTGGAGGCCGGGCGCGGTGGCTCACGCCTGTAATCCCAGCACTTTGGGAGGCCGAGGCGGGCGGATCACGAGGTCAGGAGATCGAGACCATCCCGGCTAAAACGGTGAAACCCCGTCTCTACTAAAAATACAAAAAAATTAGCCGGGCGTGGTGGCGGGCGCCTGTAGTCCCAGCTACTCGGGAGGCTGAGGCAGGAGAATGGCGTGAACCCGGGAGGCGGAGCTTGCAGTGAGCCGAGATCCCGCCACTGCACTCCAGCCTGGGCGACAGAGCGAGACTCCGTCTCAAAAAAAAAAAAAAAAAAAAAATGTTCTGGAATTGGATAGTGCTGATGGCTGCACAACATTGTAAATATTTTTTAAAACACTGCTGAATTGTACATTTTAAAAGGGTGAATTTTATATTATGTAAATTGTCTCAATTTTTAAAACTGTATAAAAAAAGAAAGAAAAAGGGGCTACAACCTCAAATCATTGAAACACAGTTGCCCCAAACTGAAATCTGCACAAAAACGGCCATGCATTACCAGTCTTAAAGCGAGATGCAAGAACTCTGGTTGCAATGCTGAAAAAAAGAGGCAGTGACTGTCAATTTCAAATGACAGCTTGCAATTAAAAAATTTAGTTGTGAACCATACCAATTTCTTGAAGGCTGTAAGTAGAGATATACGTGAGAGGCCCAAGGGAAAATCATATGTATTAAAAGGATGCCAGAAACAACAGATTTTATTAGAGCCAGACTGTCACAGAACATTCCTGATTTATTCCCCTACAAGTTATGTAGCATATATCTGTACTCATTCAAAATGCATATTCATTAGGTACCAGTTTGAGACTTGTTGATAGACACCACTAAATAAAAATAAGGGAAGGATATAATGTAAGTAAAAGGTAGATGAAGAAAATGTGGTGTATAACAAGAGGAGTCCTAGAGAAACTTATAGGTCCCCATATTTTCAAAGAAATTACATGCACCATGATGACTCCAAAAGAAAGAAAGAAAAAGGAACAAACATCACCCCTTTTGGGGGGGGTCATCAAACACCCCCCAAACATAAGATAAGAGTTCAAACAACAACTTTGTAAGACAAAGTAGATGAAAAATCATCTTGCAGAGCCTAAGGAAAAAAACAGAATGAAAATATAAAAGCATTCCTGAGATAAAGGGCCCACTAGTAATAACAGGTATTGAAACATCACTGTGGAAAGTGTAATCAAAATCATGATGGACAGGCTTGAAAAAAATCACACAAAACAAAATGGAAAAGAGCAATGAAAACAATTATAAAGGAATTGACAGAGAAGACATACAAAGGGAACTATAGGGAGCTATGTTTTGGTGGACTCTGTTGGTTTCCTATTGCTGCTGTGATAAATTATTACAAACTTAACAGTTTAAAACAATACAAGTTAATTATCTTGTAGTTCTGGATGTTGGACACCCAAAATGGCTTTCACTGGGCTAAAATCAAGGAGGCAGCAGGGCTTCTTCTGGAGGCTCCAGGGGCGAATAATTTCCTTGCCTTTTCTGGCCTCTAGGGGCTACCTGTATTGTTTGCCTCGGGCCCCTTCATCTTCAAAGCCAGCAGTGTAGCATCTTCAAATTTCTCCTTAACCCTGCTCTCATCCTCATGTCCCCTTCTGGTGTTTGTTTGTTTGTTTGTTTGTTTGTTTTTGTAAGGACACTGTGATTACACATCCTAGATTAATCTAAGACAATCTCACTATTTCAAAATCCTTAATTGTATCTACTAAGTCGCTTTTCCATGTAAGGTTACATATGCAGAAGTTTTAGGGATTAAGATGTGGCTATCTTTGGGGAGAGGGGGCATCAGTCTGCCTCTAATGGGCACTGATATGGTTTAGCTATGTCCCAACCCAAATCTCACCTTGAATTGTAAAAATCCCCACATGTCAAGTGTGGGGCAGGTGAAGATAATTGAATCACAGGGGCAGGTCCCCCATACTGTTCTCACGGTAGTGCGTAAGTTTTACAAGATCTGATGATTTTACAAATGGAGTTCCCCTGCACAAGCTCTGTTGCTGCCACCATGTAAGATGTGCCTTTTCTTCTCCTTTGCCTTCCTCTGTGATTGTGAGTCCTCCCCAGCCATGTGGAACTGTGAGTCCATTAAACCTCATTCCTTTATAAATTATCCAGTCTCAGGCATGTCTTTATTAGCAGCATGAAAATGAAATAATACAGACACCAACATATATCCTGCTGAAATTACAGAGGTTTGAGGATAAAAAATCATATGGGAATCATAGACAGAAAAAGTAAGTGACATACATGGGGAAAAAGTTAGCTTCTGTCTCCCTCCAGAAATAATAAGTACCAGAAGATTAGAGTAATATTTATAAACTACTGAGAAGAAAAAACTGTGACCCAAGAATTTTATACCCCCTAAATTTCCCTTCAAACGTAAAAATAAAACAAACCTTTCAAGTATACAACCTGTCATGCCTAAGAATTCATTTTGGAAAAAAAGAAATTCCTGAGGATCAAGTCCAGTCAATTTGGAGTTGAAAAAAAATGAAGAACTCAGGAAAAGAAATGTTGAATAAAATGAGAGTAAATCTCAAATGCATTTAAACATGAAACTAAGATGAAATCTCTATGGACATTATGATTGCAAATAGATTATAAATATAAAATTTAAAAATGTAATCTCCTAAACTCTGGAGATAAAGGCCTGTTTTCTACACTAATTTGCTCAGTTTTGAAAACAAAGAATCAATAGATACTGAAAAAGTTGGAAAAACATGGCTCATTATTGAGGAAAGTTCTAAAGATGTCCAAGCCAACTCTCTCAAGTGTTGATGACAAATTCTTATTCTTTTTAATTCCACAGAATCTCCTATCTATTAAAAAACTGCTTCCTAAGTCAGAAGGGGCTTGGCAAGAATACAAATAAACAACAACCAAGTAACCACTATCCCATGTATCAATAGCCATCTGTGGATTACAAAATGCTTTGATGCCCATGATTGAAGTTTGGACCTTGTGACACCTCAGTAATTGTGCCTGACATCTTCCATTTGCCCCTTAAGATAAAGATCCTCTCTCTTCCTTTCTCATCCTGCTCTCCTCCCCGGAAGTCAGACCTATGCTGGCTACATTTGTGGAACTGCTGTGTCCTCTGACTTTGTTTGTTTGCTCTGGGCCAATAGGGAGCCCCAAAAAATTGGAGGGAGGGAAGATACAGATTATCCTGGGCTAGCTCTGTCCCTCTGCTAAAAGTCACCATTCCTTGCAAGGCAGCAAACTCTACAGGAGTCTCTCCTTCTGTGTTCTGGGAACCACTCGTTTCCTTCATCATTGTGGCTGCAACCAACTTTACCCTCTATTGTGGTTCCCCTATACCCAAACTTTTGTAAACAGCCCCTTTGTTAAACTTCTTGGAATTATCCTATTGTGAGAATTCCCTTTGGTTTATGTTGGGACACTGATTAATACAGTTTCTTACATCCATTTTAAATTGAGCTAGCCAAGGCTGAAGTAAGTTATGTGATTCTAGACACAAGGGTCATTCTTCTATGTTGTCTTTCTTCCTAGCCTAGGATTAAATTTGGTTCAGAGCTATCTACAAAATAAATGGTTGAGGCACCTGCTCATGATCCTCTGGCAGGAAAAAATTCTAATTAATCTCTGGGGTGAGGGGTTATAACTCTAACTAGTCTGGTTAAATTAGAAATAAGCTTGCAATGAATTATATGTCTAGCTTCAAAGTTTTATTTTAAACGTAATTGACTGATAATACACAGCTGACTCTTGAACAGCATGGATTTGAACTGTGCAGGCCCACTTATATACAAGTTTTCAATGAAAGTTACACTGAGTGTGCCTGCCTCTCCTGTTTCCCCTTTCATCTCCTTCATCTCTTCCTCCTCTGCCACCCCTGAGAGAGCAAGACCTATTTCTCATCTTCCTCCTCCTCTTCAGCCTATTCAATGTGAAGATGATGAGACTGAAGACCTTTATAATGACCCAGTACCACCTGATGGAAAGTAAATATATTTTATCTTCTGTAGGATTTTCTTAATAACATTTTCCTTTCTCTAGCTTACTTTATTATAAGGCTACAGTAGATAATACACATAACATACAAAATATGTGTTAATCAACAGTTTATGTTATTAGTAAGGCTTCTAATCAACAGTAGGCTATTACTAGTTAAGTTTTGAGGGAGTCTAAAGTTATACACAGATTTTAGACTGTACAGGGGGTCAGTCCCCCTAACCCCTGCTTTGTCCACGTGTTAGCTAAGAATAAAAAGCAGTTGTGTCTCCCATCAGTCCTTTCCTTGTCTTTTGCTTTTAATGCCTTCGTGTAGCTCATCAGCAACAGCCTGGGTTCTTTCCACTCGCACTCTTGTCTGAAGTCTACCTTCAGTTCCTAGGCATTCCATATGCCCATCACCCAGTTGCTGTGAAGGTTAGATGCCAAATGGCTTCCAGCCACTCTTTCCCCAGAGGACTACTTTCAGTGCAGAAGGGGTGTCTTGCCAGGAAAGTTTTGTCTTCCCTCTGTGTAACCATGGACAAACAGCCAGTGACTGAGTGATATAGGGACATAAATCTGTGATACGGCTTATGTTTTAGAGCTCTCCCTATGGGATCTGCCTGAGGCTAGACCTTACCTAAGACCACATCCTTGCAATCCTTTCTCATCCCTTTTAATCCCCTTGAGGGTTTACCCTGAAGAGTGCTTTCTCGGTACATCACACACACAGAGGGATCCCTGTCCTAGGCTCTGCTTTGAGCCTGCACTTCCTGTGCTGTGATTTGATAGTCTCTGTACTAATTCCATCTTCCCTTCCCTTGTTTTTCAAACATTTCACATCCCTTATTGTGTGTGAGTCATTGCTTTTATGTGGCCCAACATCAGGAAGCTGTAGGTAAGACTATTAGTGCTCACTTTAATTATTTCTTTAGAAGTCATTCTGGGTCTGAAGATCATTACACCCAACTTCAAAGCAATCTTGACTCATATTTCATCCAGTCTATTTCACAATTCTGCAAAAGTAGGAATAAAATAGAATTTCCATGCTTTCTCCAATAAGGATCTTTAAATAAATAACATATTCATAAAGTTCTCCCAAGATTCTATTGTACACAAATACCAAGTACAACTTGTAGTTGTACTTAAAAAAGAGTAGTTGCGTTTAAAAAAAGAAGTTGACATCAACTCATAACTCTAGCATGTCTATTCCTGAAAGCAGAAACAATACTTGAGGCTAAGGAAATAAAACAGAATTAGGTTAGTTAGTTAGCTTGTGTTATTAAAGTTAACTTTAGATCCCTCCTAAGATGAATCACTTATTCACCCTCTACTGACACAATTTGTTATTTTGAAGAAGAGAGAGTTTAGGAGCTAAGAAATGGTTTATTTTAAAATATCTTTTTAATAGTGGTGAGCTTTTGAGCTAACCATAAAACTGCTGTACAATAAAGATGCTCATTAAGATAACAAAGGTAGGGCGATTAAAGTGAAACTGTGAGCTGCATCCTCTGTATCTGTATATGAGTCGTTAGGAAAATCCTCGTGACAGCAAACCAACAGAATAGGCAATAGGTGGTGCTGTTGCTATGTGTAATGCCTAGCAAAAGACAAGATGACGCATAAGGGGAAAATATTTGCCAGAAAGAGCACAAGACAAAAACATACCCCTAACTTCTGAATTCTCCAAAAGATGGCAGTGTCATTTCTTTGTCTCTCTTGTCTGAGCTCCACCACTTATCATTGTCTTGTTGAACTGAAGTGCTCAATTTTTGTGTTCTAGGCCAAAGCTATGGCCAACGTGCCATTTTTATATGAAGGTTGAAAGGATTCAATAGATCTCTGATATTGCTCAGCTGATCCGAAAAGACATCCAAATGCAGAGGAGATACAGATACCCACTGGAACAGGGGTCTTTAAAAATAGAGGATGTCCAGAAACTCCTCAGAATACATTGATTTCTGTAACATTTGGTAGAATTATTCCACAGTTATCTTTTGGAAAAGAAATGAGAAATATTTGGGAATAGTTCTTGAAGTTTGTTATATGATCTGGCTCTGTGTCCCCATCAAATCTCATTTTGAACTGTAATCCTAGTTGTAATCCCCACATGTTGGGGGAGAGACCACATGGGAAGTGATTAGATCATGGGGGCAATACCCTCATGCTGTTCTGGTGATAGTGAGTGAGTTCTCACAAGATCTGGTGGTTTTATAAGAGGCATTTTCCCCTTTCACTCTACATTTCTCTCTCCTGCCACCATGTGAGGGAGAACATGTTTGCTTCCCCTTCCGCCATGATTGTAAGTTTCCTGAGGCCTCCCTATCCATGTGGAACTGTGAGTCAATTAAACCTCTTTTCTTTATGAATTACCCAGTCTCAGGTATGTCTTCATAGCAGCATGAGAACGGACCAATACAGTTTATAAAATAAAAAGATAATTTGCAATAAACTTCCATAAAATTCAAAATAGTTTTCAAAAGGAGCATTAGCTATGCTAAACAAAAAAGCAGCAATATGAACAGTTAATAAATAGCAAAGTCTCTTTAAAGTATTGCTTTAGGCATGCAGAATGGATTTTTTTCTTTTTTATCTGTGATGGGATTTATCATCCTAGTGTTAGTTTAGTCAAATCAGTCTTCATGGTTTAGAAAGATGTCCAGCTGTGAAAAGGAAGTCACCTTGGGATTAAAATTTGACACAAATGATCAACAAAATGGAGAATATTTTACCATATTGGACATGCATTTTCAGACAGATTTGTGGAGATAAATTGTTTCTGATTCCAGTGGTCACACAAGAAGATACTGGCCTCTTCAAACTAATTAATTGAGTATCTTCAATTATTGCTACCCCTTGAAGAGTTGCAAACAAAGAAAAATAAGTTGCATTGTACAGTATAGTGAGAAATAAGGAGCAACAAAAATGATGCCTCAGCTGGGCATGGTGGCTCACACCTCTAATCCCAGCAACTCTGGAGGCTGAGGCAAGAGGATTGCTTGAAGTCAGAATCTGAGACAAGTCTGGGTAACACGGCAAGACTCCACCTCTAAAAAAATTTTTTTTAAATAAATACATAGCTGGGCATGGTGGTGTGCAACTGTAGTCCCAGCTACTTGGCAGGCTAAGGCAAGAGGATTGCTTGAGCCCAAGAGTTCGAGGCTGCAGTGAGCTATGACTGCACCACTGCACTCCAGACTGGGTGGCATACTGAGACTCTGTCTCTAAATATATATATATATATATATATATATATATATATATATATATATATATATATATATATATGAAAATAATGCTTCATAAAGTTTGTAAAGTTCTTTCTATGCACCTGATAGTCTAAGCAACTTTTTAAGATAGGCAAGATCATTAATACTGCCAATTTAAGTTTGAATATTCAAGGCACTTTTCCAGCACTTTATACTTATTAAATTATTTAATCTTGTAATGGCCATATGAGGTAGGTATTATTATTGTCCCCCTTTTCCAGCAAAAGAGACTGAAATAGAAAAAAGTTAAGTTGCTTCCCAAGGATATACAACAAGTAAGCTAGCTGGAATTAAAACTCAGATAGTCTGAAAAACTCACACAATCATTGCATCATCATTTTTAGAGGTAAAAATAGACATTAAAGTTTATATAACAAGCTATTAAAGATGCAACTGAATTTAAAACCAAGGTATTAATGATTTGTGGCCTGATGGTCTTCCTTGAGTTACATTCCATTTTTCTTCGGATAATTCCTGACTTGCCAAAAATTACATTCCCCTTGAATATAAGTGCCATCTAGACTGGTCTACACAGAGACTGTGGTAGGCTGGTATACCACAGATATTTCTCTGCACTTGACCACAGTGCTATCTGGAATTTCATGCCCACCCATCTCTGTAGGCTTCAGAATAGAGTCAGCCTGCTCTTGCAAGACTCTTCCCAGATACAAGTTCTCATCTGAGAAGTCTATAGTGGCCAGTTTAATGCTGACCTCAAGGAAGAAGGGGAAAGAGAGTGGTCTTCAGACTTTAAGATTCCAGACCTATCTTCACTTTGGCAAGAAAAAGGAAATTACTAGATGATTGCAAGTATAGGCAATATAGCATTCCTGAAAGCAGCTTGCCCAGTCTCCAATATTTTCCCAAGGATACGTAAGCATGATAGGACAGAAGTGTAGAAGTCTCAAATCTTAAGAAAATAAGATATTGCTCTCTTTAGCTAAAGCTTTGCTGAGCTTTCTTGGTTTACTCCTGTTCAAGCAGTTCTTACAGTTTCTATATAGGATGCTTATTGTATCAGTCAGCTTGTGCTGTGTTATGCTACAGTAACCAGACACCCCCTACCTCCAAATCTTAGTAGCTTACAACAAGAAACAGTTTTCTTTCTTTCTCATTTTACATGTCAATCACAGATTGACTTAGGCTCTTTATCTCAAGCCCATGCGGGCTGAATGAGCAGCCCCTACCTGGGACCTACCAGGCCCCTGGCTGTGAGAAGAAAATGATGTGAAACCACAGAGTGGTTCTTAGAGCTTTTGCTCAGAACTGGCTTCTGACATTTCTGACCACATTTCATTGGCCAAAGCAAGCCTGATGTCAATGGGGAAGGAAAGTTTAATCCTTTATAAGGATGGAGAGTCCCCTAATATTGGGAATGATAATACAATGATCAGACTTACTGAATTACATTATATTAGGCATAAGGAGGCTCCTATCTGAATAAATTAATAGGGTGAAAATACAAGCAAGCTGTAGAAGCTTCAACTAACTCTATAAAAGAAATATTCAAGGAGTCTAAGCATTGAAACTCTTTTCTACTTTTCTCAGCAGTGGCACAGTGAAAAAAATTAAAAGTCATTTCAGGGCATGGTAGTTGACTTGAGAGGGCAGGAAACATAGCCCAGGGAGCTGCTGAGCCCAGAGTGGAATTGCTCCTCCTTCAGCAGCTATAAAGCATGGGCCAGGTCGTACAGCTCCTTATTTAGTAACATTGGCAAAAATCCAGGCTTCATTTATAAGTCACTGCATTGCAGTTCTTTTGGAGTACGTTACCAGGACTTCATAAAGATTGATTGAGTTCTGGGAAGCCATTGGGTTGAAAGTCCAGATGTACATAAATCAAGTTATAGCATCATTTAATTCACAATGTATCTGCCCAAGTCATTTTGGGGTGGAAGTGAAAAGATTTATAGTAAGTCTTATGGGATTTGATGATCTGAAAAGTAAGAGATATTAAATGGGTGATTTAGCTGCAAGAGTTAACTGCAGTAGTTTAAAATTGACTCAAGTCTTCATTGCTACTGGTTTAAAATGCATCTTAAATAATTGGAAGTATATTTTGGGAGCTCTTTAGGGTGAAGAGTTAAACGTGATTTTTGGCAGTCAAAAATAAGATCTGATTTATATTCAGAAAAAACTCATCCATCAATAAAATATATGTCAGCAAACTACTTTATATCTTAAAGCACTGTTCTCTACCACACTTAGTTCAGATCTAAAAACTTTTACATAAATCTGTTCTATGATAAGAACCCAAAGTTCTTGAACTTGATAAAAAGAATTTCTGTGATCCTTTTAGTCTTGAGCCACAAATCAATCTACAATTGAAATCACACTTGCTTTTATGTGGAAGGACATGAAAAGCCACAATCCCAATTCATGCCCTCATGGTCTCTCACTAGCCAGGCACCTGGAGATCCAAATCTGTAGAGTAGGTGAAGTTTGCTATAATCTTCTCTGAGCCCAACTGTTCTGTATTGCTTTCTTTTTTTTGAATTCTTTTTTTTTTTTTTCAATGACAGCCTCCCTCTGTCTCCCAGGATAGAGTGCAGTGAGGACTCCAGTGATCTTCCCACCTCAGCCTCCGGAGTAGCTGGGACTACAAGCATGAGCCACCATGCCCGGCTTATTTTTTTATTTTTTATAGAGACCAGGATCTCACTATGTTTCCCAGGCTGGTCTCAAACTCCTGGAATCAAGTGATTCTCCAGCTTTGGCATCCCGAAGTGGTGGGACTACAGGCTCCTGACACCGGGCCTGGCCTTCAATTTCATGATGTTTCTTAATGCCTCAATTCCCCTTTCCTCTTTTCCTATCTTTTAATCTTTTCTATCTTTCCTTTCAAAATCTATTCTTTAAAAGAAGTTATTTTTAATTAAAATTTACCATCAGGTACCTTAAAGGCTGAGGAAATTTAATCTATTAGCATAGGCAATTGTATGCAAGTATCAGTAGAAAACAAAGTTTTGGCCAAAGGAAGGATGATCTAAAGGGAAATTAAGACAACTGAAAGTGAAAGTGGGATATATTCCTCTCTTTTTAAAATCACACAGTGGAGCATATTTAAAAACAAGTATTCAAAAGGACAGTTGATTAATACGGATGTTACATTTCTGTCTGCTCCTCTGACAATTTTACAGGCATTTTTGATGGAACAAATTCTTAAAGGAACAGAGTTTTCTCCCTCATAATGAAGAGTACTTCATTATGAAAGACTGAACTCAATATTTTTTCCAATTAATACTAATATTTATTTAGTTTTACTTAATGTTCCTGAGAAATGTTGACTCTACATTTGATTTTATTAAATGTTGCATGTGAATTTACTTTCCTTCAATCTTTAAAAATTGCAGTTAGAAAAATCTAGATTCTTTCCCTGCCTTTGTTACTTCTCTAGAAGTACTGTGAAATTAGGGAGTTGAATTTGAGGTAATACTTGAGGGTGTTCAATTCTGAAATTCTCCATTGGTTCTTTTAGTTGAGGACAAGCTTCTTTAGTGAGAAAAATTACTGCCAAATTTATCTCTTTGTTAAATTGGAGCATGTGTGTATTACTTAAGCATAAAGCTAAGTACACTGTATTAACCATTGCAATGCCATTTTCTACTGGCTATTAAAAATTATTATTTAATGTAATATGTGGAAAACTACCCAGTGATTTCTAAAACTGGATCTTAAGTTTAAAAAATGCACTATTGATTACTATAATACATTTTAAAATCTAAATTTAATATCTAAAATGTAGAGTATAATACATTTCATATCTAAAATATAATTACAATTATCTACACTTCCTTTTCATTCTTTTCCTATAGGTGTGTTGTTTTTACATTTTGTCTAAATTACTCTTCTCATTTCATTTGTTTGATTTTTGCTTTCAATTCACCTAGCTAATACACTCTTTAAAAATGTATCATAATTTTTATTCATTGTACATTATGTTTTATGTGTATTTCATTCAATAAATGCATGGACTTGATAATAAAAATTCAGGCTACACCAAAGGGCACAAAATAAAAATATAAAGTCTTCCTCTCTCCCTACAACTGTCCTACTTTCCAAAGAGGACTATGTTTAACATTTTTTAGTTTTGGTTCTTGTGGTGATTAGCTTGGAAATTCTAAACCACTGCTGTTCAATAGAAACATAATGTGAACCATGTTTAATCTGTCTAGTAGCCACATTTTAAAAAGCAAAAAGGAATAGGTGAAAATAATGTTCATGATACATTTTATGTAATCTCATTTATCCACAATGTTATTATTTCACATATAGTCAACATTAAAAAATGAATATTTTAAATTCTATGTTTTATCTTAACTGTATTTTATACTTATAGCACATATTAATTCAGATTAGTTACATTTCAAGTGTTCAATGGCCACATGTGGCTAGTGGCTATCATATTGGACAGTGAAGATCTAGATAATATGCTAAATACATCAAATTTTTTGTTTAGCAATTTTAAACAGTATTTGCTAGTTTCCTGCCAAAAAGATGAAGAATTTAACATCTTGTGCTACCCATTCTATCTTACAAATCTCATTAAATATGTATTTTTAGGTCTCCCATTAGTCTTCTTTATTATTTTGAAAACTATACCTACTCTTCTTTTCTTACACTCGTATTAGACAATATCCTTTGAATTCCAGCTATGCAAGGTGTGGAAACTAATATTCCCTCACTTCTCTCCACCTCTCCCACTATGCCTCCAAACTTTTGTCAAGCTATAATAATTACTTTTAAATTGTTAAGGTTCATAACCTTTTTATTCTGTTCTATCACTTTAATAAATTTAATTTTCTTGTCTTGTTTTAGGTCTCTAGAAATGTAAAACATGTGACAGTATTTGAAATATTATGAGTCTGGCAATTTCATTGTACAATCAAGCAGTGTAATTGAACCCTTTGGAAGTACAATCTCCCACTCTCAATCTGTGCTACTTAAAGAAGAAACGTTGAATATTAAGGACAAATAAATTCTCATTTCCTGTATTCTATCAGTTTCTCAGAATTGTGCTTCAGTTTAGTTTGTTTCATATGAGGATCATGGCTCATTATTCAATGTTGTGGTTTTTCTTGAATTCTCTTATTACCTTTCATTTACCTTGTTAACTAAGATGTATACTGGCCATTTTATTTTTAGATTGTCATGCCTTTTCATCATACCACTTAACATAGGAAAGTGACTGTCTTCTTAAAGACTGTCTCTGGTAGCTCACTAAGTTCCTTTTCTAATTTGAATTTATTGCCTTCTATGTCTGCTGCTGAGCTATGATTCTGGGATTTAATTTCATTGCTCTATTGGATAAATTTGCAGTTTCTTACATGCCAAGTCTTTCCCTTTCAGCAAACACAATAATTTATTGAATTATATTCTCTAGTAACTTTTAAAAAAAACATACACAAGAGAAATAAACTTTCTGAAGCTTTGCATGTCTGAAAATGGCTTTATTTTCCATTTACACTGGACTGGCACATTTTAATTTTCTAAGAAACATCAGATATCTATAATAGCCTTTTATGCTACAAATGCACATTAGTGTGTCTATACCCTGTGGAAATTAAAATCCAAGTGAATCAGTAATTACACAGTTGTGGGATGAAATAAATTCTTGGACTTCTCCCCATTAGAGTCCCCACAGTGAAGCAATATTCCACACTTTACCTTTAGCCACTGTTTTGTACCAGTTGGGAAATCAAAACTTTCATTAAACCAGCCTTCCTGGTAGATACTTGGAAGAATTACAACACTCTTTAGCATGTTTAGAAATGTCCTTATTCCTGCCCACATTTTATAAAGACATAATCACGTGGTAGATGCCTTTGGGACTTTTGAAATGCATTCTGTGAATGAGAAGAAATGCAAACATGTTGGCAAAACTGATTATTTTCATTGTGGATCTCACGCTTGCTTTGGCCATTTTTGTTATCTTTTATTTAATGGCTGCCACTGTTTTTTTCATCTCGGTCATTTTCTATATTTTCAAAAGGGAGATGGAAAAAAAACTTTGACTTCAACAAGCGCCGAATCTGGGCGCTGGATTCTAGCAATGCTACTGAGGAGCCTTTGGCAGGTGGCGCAGAGAAAGTCAGCTCCAAGCTGCTTCCTGTCCATTGTCCAGCTGTAGGAGAAGGGTCTTTCCTGCCCAAGGACAGTGGTCCTCTCTTCTAAAGAGCAAGGAGCTCTCTGAGGTGGAGGAGGCTTGTGAAGACTTCCCAGAACACTGCACCCACCTGACCAAGAGGTACTTTTTAAGGTGAGCATATTGGACATTGACCTCCATTTTCCTCCTTAATACAAGTAAAACGCATTCTTGAGATGAGAGGAGAAAAACAAATTATTTTAATCACTGCCTTCTAGTTTTCAAAATTGGAGTTGTCATCGTCTATAAATACTGCAAAAGTTTTTGTTTTTAGCTGAGTCTCAATTACCCAGCAAACCAAGGAATCCTACCTATGTTATTTTCTCTCCCAAGTACTGATTAGACAAAGGGCAAAAGAGGATGAAACTTCAGTTTTAATCTTCTCTAACAGTTCGGTTGAAAGGTTTGGTAGAAGAGAAAGTTTGAGAAAATGCATGCTTTGATCATCCCTATTCTATTTCACAGCTTTGGTTCAGTGGAAGCAAATCAGTTTTGCCTTGGTTTTTGACAGAAAAAATGGCTACCATAGGTTCCTGTGTTTGGGTTTTTGTGGTATAAATGCATATATTTTATGGTATTTGCATATATTTTTGTTTTCAGAAGCTTCTGGTAAGTTGATTTAATTTTAGCAGTTGTGATTACAACTCTTAAAACCAAGTCCTTGTTTATATATTTCATCTCCATTGCCTTGTAGACTTCTGACTTCTTAACTTTTTAAAAGTATTTCTTACAAACAAACTGAAAAATCATTTCAGTCTAAATGTTAGATAACACTTACATGAATTCCTTACAAAATGTAGCAAAATCATACTCAATAAAGGAAAAATAATAGGCTTAGCCTCCGAGGCCATAAATGCATAAAATTTTAGGAAAAAAAAATTGCTTTAGTATAATAATGTTATCCATAGATCAGTCATGCCACTTGCTGAAGAGTACAATAGCTCCTCCACAGAAGAAACTGGTTAAGTGTTGTTGAATGAGTACAAATTTTAGTAAGGGATTTTAAAATCATCTCCATTGCATCATTTCCAGGTTTATGCACAGAAGTAGAGAGGCTGACCTACCTGGTGGGATGGGGGATGCACAACGGAAGAATACCTTATAAACAATTGCCCTGGCCGGGCGCGGTGGCTCACGCCTGTAATCCCAGCACTTTGGGAGGCTGAGGTGGGTGGATCATGAGGTCAGGGGATCGAAACCATCCTGGCCAACACGGTGAAACCCCGTCTCTACTAAAAGTACAAAAAATTAGCCAGGTGTGGTGGTGGGCACCTGTAGTCCCAGCTACTCAGGAGGCTGAGGCAGGAGAATGGTGTGAACCCAGGAGGCAGAGTTTGCAGTAAGCCAAGATCGTGCCACTGCACTCCAGCCTGGGCAACAGTGAGATTCCATTCCCCCCTCCAAAAAAAAGTAAAAGAAAAAAAATTGCCCTTAATTGCTGATTACCTGCATGGAATTTACAATTATGGAACCGGTATTTAATGAAATGGTTTTTCAGTTCTAAGAAAACTTGACTACCATGCAAATATCATGAAAGAGGCACCCAGAGTATGTTTCTGTTTGTCTTTAAATCTTGCCATTAATTCACTCCACAACATATGTACAGGGTCTAGAGGGATGAGGAATAATTTAGGTAAATTTTGATTCAGAGGAGGCAGAAGCATAGGTCCTGCATGTGAGGCACTGGTGAAGTCAGGTATCCCCCGGAAGAACTAAGGGGTAGGGGTAAGGAAGAGGAGGGTGGAAAAGAGACACAATGTGAATGTAGGATGTGATGAAATTGAGGTATACCAAGGTGAACATTCACTTTTGCCTTGTGTAAGCTCTTAGATACTGAAGAAAACTCTACACTCTACTGTGCTAACATTCACTGGGGATGGGCCATGGTTGGACCCCAACAAAGATTTCTTGTGTGGTCTTGGCCATTTGCCCCAGGGTTTTCTTGTGTATCTCCTATGTGTTCCTAATGTAAAGGATTAGGGTTGATGGCAATGATTTGATAAGAAAGGAAATCAAAATTGCTTCACATTTGAACATCTTCTGAAGCTGACCCTCAAATTCCACTACACTCCTGTCTTATACCTGGCTTCGGAGGACCTGCTGGCCCTGCAAGGCGTTTCAGTTTGTGTAACCTGCCAGGTTCCTCCAGCTCCACTTGAGTTACTTTTGCATCCAAAGCTGTCTTTCCCTTAGCTTCTATTTGGGTTCCAGAAAGGTAAGTTTAGTACTGCTAACTTATAAATTCAGTTAGGTGAAAATTCATTTCTAAGACTTATTACTTATCAGTGATTCAACCAGGGAACCCAGGTACCTATTGGCTCTATTTTTTGGACTACGCCAGCCCACTCTTAAAATTCATAAGGGTCTTGGGAGTCATTTAGTACACTTCTCATCCAATATTTTCTATAAGACACTTGTCCAACCCACGGTCTGTGGGCTGCCTGCAGCCCAGGATGACTTTGAATGTGGTCCAACATAAATTCATAAACTTTCTTAAAACATTACGAATTTTTTTTTTTGCAATTTTTGCTCATCAGCTAGCATTAGTATTAGTGTATTTTATGTGCTAGCATTAGTGTTAATGCATTTTATGTGTGGCCTGAGACAATTCTTATTTTTCCAATGTGGCCCAGGGAAGCCAAAAGATTGGAAACCCCTCTTCTATAATATCCCTGAAAGATAGTTGTTCAACTTCTGCTTAGCCATACTGCATGAGATGGAATTTTTTTCCCTCATAAGGAAGTGTGTTGTTAAGAAGTTCTTTATAACATACAGTGGAAATCTGAGTCTCCACATTGTCCTATTTTTACTCTGTTAAGCAATCCAGAAAACTGTTGACTAAGTACAATGACTTCACTGGAACCACAAACTCTAAGAAGAAAGATCAGCTTCTCCTTTTATAAATTTCCTGCCTTCTACTCAAAGCATTGAATAATGTTGCCTTTTTCAGTGCAAATAACCCATTTAAGATCATAATAGTAAGATAAATCTAGAATTTATTGTGTACATTATTAGAAAATTCTTGATTTGTCCTTTCTGACTTCTTGTACATATTTGTTAATCAGGAATTTTGAAATTCATTTCTTCAAAGCTTCCTCAAGTCTGGGAGTGTTGCCAATTTGCATGGAAGAACAACATTTCATGACTGCATTCATAACGATTAAAATGTAATTCTAATGCACTAACCCAATTTCACAGCACATCAAAAATTTAATTCAACCCAAAATGACTCTCACAGATGTCTGATAATTTTCCAGTGGATGTTATTTGTAAGGTCAGATAAATTTGAGCATTTTAGAAAATTGTCAATCTTGCCAATACAATTTTTTGTAAATACAGCAACAGGAATACCTCCAGTATCAAGCTATGCTAATCTTTACAGAATGAAGCCCCTTTCATCAAAGGTAGCTGAGAGTGGAGAAAATTGGGAAAGAGTCCAGCCATTGCATTTCTGGTGGGTTCAGCTAAAGGGGCCCTGAGGCTGCAGTAAGGAAGTCCCCATGTTCAGGATCCTCATGGCTTTATCAGTAGGTTTGGGGGAGTCAGAGTGTTAGAAGCCAAAGATTTTCTGACTGTGGCACATATACACCATGGAATACTATGCAGCCATAGAAAATGATGAGTTCACGTCCTTTGGAAGGACATGGATGAAGCTGGAAACCATCATTCTCAGCAAACTATGCAAGGACAGAAAACCAAACACCGCATGTTCTCACTCATAGATGGGAACTGAACAATGAGAACACATGGACACAGGAAGGGGAACATCACACACCAGGGCCTGTTGTGGGGTGGGGGGAGGGGGGAGGGATAGCATTAGGAGATATAACTAATGTAAATGACGAGTTAATGGGTGCAGCACACCAACATGGCACATGTATACATATATAACAAACCTACATGTTGTGCACATGTACCCTAAAATTTAAAGTATTAAAAAAAAAAAAAGAAGCCAAAGACTTTCTGGCTTTGTGGAAGGCTGAGGGTGAGCAAGCTTCTAGAAGACAAAGAGAAAGTCAGTTCCTGGAATGCATATCTATAATTCCTTTTTTGTTTTTGCCTCTGGTGACATTTCTAACAATATACAGTTGGCTCTCTCTATCTATGGGTTCCACATTCGTTAATTCAACCAACCATGTATGAAAAAATATTCAAAAAAATTTAAAAAGAACAATACAAAAAATAATACAAATTTTAAAAATACAGTATAACAACTACTTACATAGCATTTACACTGTATTAGCTTAAAGTATACAGGAGGAGATTACTTAAAGTATACAGGAGGATGTGCATAGATTAAATGCAAATACTATGCCATTTTACATAAAGAACTAAAGTATCCTTAGATTTTGGCACCACTGGGGATCCTGGAGCCAATCCCCCATGAATACAGAGGGATAACATTAAAAGCGTTTGGATCTGGGAGTCCCTTTAGGATCTGGACCACACCACTTACTGGCCGTTTATTTCTATCAAGTCATTGCCTCCTTTGGCCTCTTTTTCTCCGTCTGAAAAGAAGGACATGCAAAACTAATGCCTTGTAAGGCCCCTTAAGTCCTAAACTACTGTAAATGTTATAAAACAAAATGAGTTTAAAAGTGAGATGCCGGCCAGGTGCGGTGGCTCACGCCTATAATCCCAGCACTTTGGGAGGCCGAGATGGGCAGATCATGAGGTCAGGAATTCGAGACCATCCTTATCAACATGGTGAAACCCTGTCTCTACTAAAAATACAAAAATTAGCTGGGCATGGTGGTGTGAACCTGTAATCCCAACTACTCGGGAGGCTGAGGCAGGAGAATTGCTTGAACCTGAGAGGGGGAGGTTGCAGTGAGCCGAGATTGCACAACTGCACTCACTCCAGTGTGGGCAACAGAGCAAGACTCCGTCTCAGGGGGAAAAAAAAAAAGTAAGACTCCTGGTCGGCCAAGATGGCAATTTACACACATGGTTTCTCATCATCTGTCACTATACTTTGCTAATACCTGGGAGATGCATGACTTGTGGGAACCCCCAAGGGAAAAGATGAGAGTTTTCAGGAGCACTTGTAGGACTAAGAATAAACCCTCAGAATAAATTTTCTTGGGGACCCGACATTTATCTTCATGTCCCTCTTGCACTACCTGCTCACAATTAAAGTACAACATGATATGTATACCTGCATCCCACAGGTATCCATTGTCCTGTTAGTTCAGACAGGCTATCTAAACGTCTAAACCCAAGCATTTTTGTTCTGTGTACAAGCAAGGTATCTATTTTGTACTCAGTATTAATCACTTAGATTATTTTGCCTCCCAAGATATCAATTTGTTCAACTATAAAATGAATATATGGTGTAAATACTATCAAATAGTCCCACCTGGGTTAATATGATTTTAAGGGTATATTGAGTAGCTACGCTTTGCTATTAACTCTGCCAGGTGGTTTGGCAAAACAAAGACACGTAACACATAGGTGTAGACTTCAAAAGAGTTCTCATTTTATTTGCGTTTGAAAGCATCCATGAACCAAACATGAATTGGAAATCTCAGGTAAAGTAATTAACTAAACAAATAAAATGTAATGCTTTTTCAAAAGTTAAAGTTTCAATAAAGTCCCAGAGTTTGCCAGCTTTAATTTTGTTTATTTTTAATATTCTGTGTTTTGAATGAGAAAATCAAGCCAGGCAATCTAATTGTTTTGCATTGTAAATCATCTTATTTGACTTATAAGACAGAATTTGCTAAAAGTAATTGAACTATTTCTCACTCGTTTCTTTGGGTATGACATCAAAAACACAGGGAAAAAAAGAATTTTTTTCAAAATTAAAAACTTCTTTTTATCAAAGGACACAAGCAACATAGTGAAAAGGCAGCCCACATTATAGGAGAAATGATTTGCAAATCATATGTCTAACAAGGAGTTAATATCCAAAATATATAAAGAACTCCTACAACTCAACAACAACAAAAATAAAAAACCTGATTAAAAAATGGTCAAAGGATTTAAATAGATATGTCTTCAAAGAAGATATACAAATGGACAATATAACATGAAAAGATGCTCAATAAAAGCCACAATGAGATATTACCTCATACCCATTAGAGTAGTTTCTATTTTTAAACAGCAGCAGAAAATAAGTTTTGCTGAGAATGGGAGAAATTGGAACTCTTGTGTACATAAAATGGGTGCAGCCACTATGGAAAAGAGCATGGCGGTTCCACAAAAATTAAAAAGTAGAGTATGTGATTCAGCAGTTCCACTTCTGGGTATATATCAAGAAGAATTGAAAGCAGAGTCTCAAATATATATTGTACACCAAAGTTGATAGCAACATTACTCACAATAGCCAAAAGGCAGAAGAAATTAAAGTGTCCATTGATGAACGAATGTATAAACAAAATATAGTGTATTCATTCAATGAAATATTATTCAGCCTTAAAGAAGGAAATTCTTACACATGCTGCAACATGGATAAATCTTGAAGACTTTTTTTTTTCTTTTTTTTTGAGACGGAGTCTCGGTCTGTCGCCCAGGCTGGAGTGCAGTGGTGCAATCTCGGCTCATTGCAACCCTCGGCCTCCCAGTTTCAAGTGATTCTCCTGCCTCAGCCTCCTGAGTAGCTGGGACTATAGGTGTGCACCACCACACCCAGCTAACTTTTTTTTTTTTTTTTGAAATTTTTAGTAGAGATGGGGATGGGGTTTCACCATGTTAGCCAGGATGGTCTTGATCTCCTGACCTCGTGATCTGCCTGCCTCAGACTCTCAAAGTGCTGGGATTACAGATGTGAGCCACCGCACCCAGCTGAAGACTTTATGTTACATAAAATAAGCCAGTCACAAAAAGACAAATACTTCCATATAATTTCACTTACGTGGGGTACACAGAGTTGTCAAATTCATAGAAACAGAAAGTAGAATAGTAGTTGCTAGAGACTGGGGAAGGGGGAAGTAGGGCATTGTTGTTTGATGGGTACAGGATTTCAGTTTTGTCCGAAGAAAAAGAGTTCTGTGGATCGACAGTGGTGATGGTTACACAACAATGTGAATGTACTTAATGCCCCTGAATCATGCACTTGAAAAATGGCTAAGACAGTAAATTTTATATTCTGTATATTTGAACACAATAAGAAAAATAAAAAAGAAAGTAGATCAATTATATTCTGGCTTTTATTATTATTATTATTATTATTATTATTTTGAGACAGGGTCTCACATTGTTACCCAGCCTGGAGTGCAATGGCGTGATCTCGGCTCACTACAGTCTCGTCCTCCCAGGTTCAAGCTATCTTCCTGCCTCAGCCCCACAGGTAGATGGCATTACAGGTGTGCACCACCATGGCCTGCTAATTTTTGTATTTTTCTCTTTTGTAGAGACAAGGTTTCACCATGTTGCCCAAGCTAATCTTGAACTCCTGAGCTCAAGTGATCTGCCTGCCTCAGCCTCCCAAAGGGCTGGGATTACAGGCGTGAGCCACTGAACCTGGCCCTGGCATTTTTTTATCATTATAAAATGTCACATTTATTGCTACAGTGCTGTTATATACAGGACAGGTCTCCAAATTGCCTTTAAAGAGGATCGTTTAAAAATCCCAATAATCCAGCCAGCTGTGTTGACATCTATAAAATTATTTTTCTTAAAAAAAAATTACTCGTTTTGAAAACCAGTTACCTTGAAGCACTCAGAGCACAATTTCCACCCAATAATTGTGGTTTTGTCCACCTCCCACATTTGTTCCATTTTTTGTGTTGGGTTAATCTCATTATACATGTATTATATATATGTAGATATAAATATATCTATCTATATACATAGATATCTGTTATATCTATGTATATAGATAATTATATTATCTATAATATAATTATATAGATAATTATATTATCTATAATATAATTATATAGATAATATAATTGCAGATAATAATATAGACAATATAATTATATCTGCATACAGATATAACAGATATCTATATAGGTATAATTCAATTATGTAATTGAATTACATATAGAATTATATATATACAATTTATTTTTTTGCCTGATTATAAAAACTAGGCTATGGGGAATGATGGTCTTCACAGGGGGTATTTCGTATAGGTAAACTATCCAGATTATTTGGCTTTTAAAAACTGTATAGGACATATATGCCCAATCTCAACCATGGCTGCATAATAAAATCACCCAGCAAGCTATTTAAAAATAATAGATTTTGGTTCTAGGGTAAAGCCCTGACATGGAGATTTTAAAAACATCACCAAGTGATTGTAATGTGTGGCTAGAATTGAAAACTACTGCCCTAGTTTCTCAATCATTGAATTATATTAGTCTGATCATTTGGTTTGTTCTTGGCACTGATGACCATGAAGTATCTTATCTTAGTTTGTTTTGTGTTGTTATGACAGAATACTTGAGACTGAGTAGTTTAGAAAAAATTGTTTATTTTGCTCATGGTTCTGGAGGCTGGGAAGTCCAAGAGCATGGTGCCAGCATCTTGTGAAGGCCTTCATGCTACATCATTCCTTGGCAGAAGGTAGAAGGGCAAAAGAGCATGAAAGCAAGAGAGAGAGGTGGCCAAACTTACTTTTGTAACTAATTTACTCCCACAATAATGACATTAATCCATTTATAACAGCAGAGCCCTCATGACCAAATCACCTCTTGTTAGGCCCCACCTCCAAACTCTGTTGCCATGGGGGATTAAGTTTCCAACACATGAATCTTGAGAGACACACTCAAGCCATAGTATATTTACATTGATTAGCTAGCTTTTCATAATGAAGAATTCAATATTAGTAAGCCACACCATGAAATCCTACAAATAAGTACAGTATGTTCTGAGATAAATTAAAAACAATTCATAACAATTCAGTAGCACATTTATCAGATTTGCTTTCAGTCTTGAACAAGGTAAGTCAATAATTCATTTGATGCTTAATGGCAGTTAATTCTTATGAAGATCATTCAAATATAAAAACACAACAATGACCTGAAAGCCTAACCTGAAGGTTCTTATCAAGAGATACCAAAGTAAAGACAACAGAAAACAATTGCAGAATATTTACTATGTGATTGTTCTTATGGGAGACTCCTGAACTAGGTGACAAACATATTCTCAGAGATTCAGGTTCATTATTTCTGTTGGGTATTAAGCCATTATGCTGTAAATTTCCAAGCATGAGTTCTTCCCAAAGCCCATTTATTCTTCATATTGCCTCATGCATTCTCAAAGTCCTAGCATCAAACTAAAGGCATGGTTTATTTCTTCTCTGGGAGCTATAGAAGTAAACTCCATTTGAAGTCTTGGCCCTATGCCCTACACATTGTTGCCAGAATAATCTTGGCAAAATTTATGCTCAAAGACTTGTAATAACTCTCACTCACCTAAAATAGAGTAACTGTGAATAACTTAATCTGGTATTCTTAGTTTTCTAGACACTATCTTTCCAGCCTTATTACCAATGATTTCACTGTGCATTGCTGAGATTCAGCTGACCTAAACTAAATGTGGCTAGTCTGGGCTCCAAGCTGCAGGTTGGGCCCAATGCCTCGTCCACAGGTCCCTCTTCCTTCTTGAACTGGCAGCTATGTGAGGCATGATCTTCTCTTTGTGATGGATGGCTGGAGCACAAGAAGGACATAGGCAAACATGTTGACTTTTACAGTGTAGGCTTGGAGTTGGCACATTGTCACTTTGGGTTATGTTCCATGGGCCAAAGAAAGTCACGTGACTGGGCCCAGCATCAGTGGGGCAAAGAAGTGCATGCTGTCTATAGAAGTCACGGAGGGGAGTGGTGAATACATATTTGATGAACAATAATATAATATACCCATAAAATGTAACAGAATAACATTTTTCATAATCAATAACATTGCTAAAATTATTAAACAGTTTTTATTTTATGTAAAATAAAATGAAGGCTTAACATTGCCTGGGTGAAGTTTGATATAGGATTTGAAGTCCATGTTCTTAAATTGTTGAGTTTTTTTTATGACTTCCATTGAACAGAGATCAGGTCCATTTACTGGAAAGAATTGTTTGTAAACCGAGTTCTTTCTATGGCCATTTTTCAAGGCTGGAAATTGTTCCATGATATGTTCTTTGAGTTTCTTTCTCTACCTCCATCATCCCTGATAATGGCTAAGCTCTCCCAGAAGTGCACACAGATGAGGCCAAATGTAGTACTGTCTTGGTAGAGAGAACAGGGGCTTTGGTACAAGTAAAATGAGTCCACCACAGACTGGCTCTGAACTCAGGTCAAGTCATGTAAACTCACAAGTCTATATAGTTACTTAGTAAAGCTTGCCTGAACTGACTAATGGGTTGCTGTGTTGATTACGTGAGATACTATCAGAAAACACAATTCAAAATATTAATTATAAAATAGATATCCTTATTTATACAACCAAAGTCACATGTCACTTAAAGAGGGGGATACACTCAGAGAAATGTATTGTTTAGTGATTTTATCATTGTGTGCAAACATCATAGAGTGTACTACACAAACCTAGATGGTATAGCCTACTACACGCCTAGGCTATATGGTGTAGTCTATCGCTCTTGGGCTGTAAGCCGGTACAGCATGTTACTATACTCAACATTGCAGGCAATTGTAACACAGAGGTATCTAAACATAAATAAACTTTGAAAAGGTACAGTAAAAATATGGTATAAAAGATAAGAAATGGTATGCCAGTAAAGAGCACTTACCATGAATGCAGCTTGCAGGACTAGAAGTTGCTCTGGCTGAGTCAGTGAGGGAGTGGTGAGTGAATGTGAAGGCCTGGGACATTACTGTACACTGTAGACTTTATACACACTGTACACTTAGGCTACACTAAATTTATTTAAAATAATTTTCTTCATTAATAGCCTTAGCTTACTATAACTTAAACATTTTTAATTTTTAAAACTTTTCAACTCTGTAAAAATAATACTTTGCTTAAAATACAAACAACATACAACTGTACAAAAATATTTTCTTTATATCCATATTTTTTGAAAAAAATTTATATCTATCTTCATTTTTATGCTGTTGAAAACTAAGAGATAAACAATACATTTGCCTAGGCCTACACAGGGTCAGGATCATCAATATCACTGTTTTCCGCCTGCACACTGGAAGATATTCAGGGTCAATAACATGTATGGAGCTGTCATTTTCTATGGTAACTATGCCTACTTCTGGATACTTCCTGAAGGACTTGCCTGAAGATGTTTTACAATGGACTTTTTGTTTAATACGTAGAAGGAGCATACCCTAAAGTAACAACAAAAACTCTAGTATAGTAAATACATAAATCAGTAACATATTTATTATTATTATACATTATTATGTACTGCACACAATTGTATGTGCTATGCTTCCATATGACCGACAGCACAGTAGCTTTGTTTACACCAGCATCACCACAAACAACACAAGTAATGCATTGTGCTGTGATGATGTGATGGTTACGATTTCACTAGACGATAGGAATTTTTAAGCTTCATTTTGATCTTATGGGACCACCATCATATATGTGGTTGTTGACTAAAACATTGTTATGCACTTTTGAAATTACATAACTGTAATTTGTCTAGACTACAGTCCCTATATATTCTAGTTTTTTTCTACTGTTTACTTATTTAATTTACTTTGTCTTTAGCTAGTAGTCAGTTGTCATTAAGAATAAAGCAAAAATTTTCATTTATAAACGGCTAATGGCATTCCTACATTAATTCTTGTCCTTAGAGACCATCGACTGAAATAGATTATAATAAATATGATCAATTAGCTAATCATTTAATGAATCATTCGGGACACAATAATTGTTTCAAAATTTCCATTGCATACCACCACCTAATAGATATTGACCACAAAAGAAATATCTCAGGGGAGGGGGGAGAGATAGCATTAGGGGATATACCTAATGCTAAATGACAAGTTAATGGGTGCAGCACACCAGCATGGCACATGTATACATATGTAACTAACCTGCACATTGTGCACATGTACCCTAAAACTTAAAGTATAATAATAATAATCATTAAAAAAGAATGAATTAAAAAAAAGAAATATCTCATTGAATCAAGTAATTTTTTCCTCATTTTTATTATACGTGATAATTATCTCAATAAATATCTCAAGACTTACTAAAATTCAATAAAGTAGCCCTGTTAAAATACTTAGGATTGCTAAAATTCTCCATTTCATTTTATGTGTGAATGGTTTGCTGAAAAGAAAAGAAATAAATGATTGAGACATATATCCTGGATTTATTTTTCATCTTGGATTTTGATCTTTAGCAATTTTATTTAATAACATCTCTGTGAAAACCCATGATTTCATGTCATTGGTAGTTTTGACAAGTTCAAAAGAGCCAATCACAGATTTATTTTATAACAAGATTTAGGCTGGGCGCAATGGCTCATGCCGGTAATCCCAGCACTTTGGGAGGCTGAGGCAGGCAGATCATTTGAGGTCAGGAGTTCAAGACCACCCTGGCCCACATGATGAAATCCCGTCTCTACTAGAAATACAAAAATTAGCTGGGTGTGGTGGCACGTGCCTGTAGTCCCAGCTACTCGGGAGGCTGAGGCAGGAAGATCACTTGAACCCAGGAGGTGGTGGTTGCAGTGAGCTGAGATCACACACCACTGCGCTCCAGCCTGGGTGACAGAGCGAGACTCTGTCTCAAAACAACAACAACAAAAAAAAAAAAAAAAAAAAAACAAGACTATGTTTCTGAAGTAAGCCTGCCAAATTTAGGCAATGTATTTGGAAAGACTTTTTAGTTCTAGGTGTTATATTCTTTACAGCTAGATTCATTTAACTGGAGAGTACTTACAGTATGATCGAGAAAAATAATACAAACATAAATGCTGTGGAATCATGGAACTGTGTTTATATATCACAGATCTCAGAGATATAAATTAATCATTCAATGAGAAATACCATCCCTGAAAATGAACATGACTATAATAAAATCAATGAGCAGCTATATATAAAATCCATCTTTCTTAAACGTATTAGTGTTTTATAAACACTAATATAAAATACAAATGTGAATAAATATAAATTTTCTCCAACAATTTTGTCTTTAGTTTGAAAAGTATAGTCTTTTGCAAAGTTCATAAATTGGTATGTAAACATTTTCAGTTATCCTAGGGTGGAGATCATCTTGAAACTTCAAAGTGAACATATTGACATAGGTCACAGAACAACACATTAATAAGAGCCCCCAAATGAATTGCCACACAGCAGACTTCATTCCATCTTTTTTACATGATGAAATAGTCTTCCTGTTAATGAAAAATGCTCCAGGCCCTGAGAAGGCCTGGGCTGCATGAGTCAAGGAGAGGGTAGCATGAAGACAAAAGGATTCTAATTCCAAGTAGTAGCATATGGAGAGCCCGCTGCCAAAGGGTTTCAGTTCCTCAATCATCTGTGGTCTTGACAATGTGACTGTGCAACTAACTCCTCCCTGCAGAGGATGGTGGCATCTGTTTCTCCACCTTTTGAATCTGGGCTGGCCTTTGGACTTGGCAAGGCCAATAGAGATTTGAGCCTGGGTCTCAAGGGACCTGGCACTTCTGCTCCCTTTCTGTTGGAGTCCTGCCAGCATCTTGGGAACAAGTTCCAGAAGATAGCTAGAGGATGGGAGCACATGAAGAGCAGATCACAACCATCCCTGGGGAGCCCAGCCTGGACCAGCTACAGCCACCCGTCTCCCAAACATGGAGAGAGACCCCCGAGTTTAGCAGAGCTGCATACCTGACCCACAGTGAACCACATATGCATGAGGGAGTCCAGGTGAGATCACAGGAACATCCAGCTGGCCCATAAGCTTATAAGCAGTAATATCTACTTATGATTCTTAGCTACTGCTTTTGAGTTGTGCCAACTCATGCTGAGGGTGCAGTGTTTTTTAGAATATCTCAGTGCTTTCTAAAAAATTTTTATTTTTCCCCCCACAGAAACTGCTATTTTCATGCTAGATTTAATCAAACTTACAGTGGTTTTGTAGTTGTGAGATAATTCATTGGCTTAAGCACATTTATCGAAACTCCTATAAAATGTGTTTGAATTAAGTAAGCAAATCAATTTCCTGTCTTGTTGTCCTATACCTTAGACTAGCTAACTAGTAAATTTGTACATAGTAAAAAGTAAATAGTGAAAAAAGGTACAAGTAAGAAGTAGTAAAAATAAAGTAGCAAAATATTTTGTTCAAATAGCACTGCCAGTACCAAAAGCGGGAGTCCAAATGAAAAAAAAAATAACTAAAACGAATATTAGTTTGCAGATTTAAAAGTTCAATTGAACATATAGTATTGAAAGCAGAAAAGATGTCAAGATGACAGAACTAAGTCTAAATGTAACTTTGCTCTCAAACATGTCAAGGTATACATTAAAATGAATAGAAAATTTTCACAAATTAAATTAAAAAGTAGCTCGGGAGGCTCAGGCAGGAGAATGACGTGAACCCGGGAGGCGGAGCTTGCAGTGAGCCGAGATCGCGCCACTGCACTCCAGCCTGGGCGACAGAGCGAGACTCCATCTCAAAAAAAAAAAAAAAAAAAAGTAGCGAACACATATCCTATAAAACATGGATAATATAGAGAAATTCTGAAAGGGTAAAAACTTTCAAAGCTTAAACAAATCCAGACCAGGAAAGTATAAATACAAATTTGAAAGTATGATACTAATGTCAGAGAAGTTTGAATTCAAGGAAGAGTCTAAAAGAGTTTAAACACATAAAGATGAAACATTTATAACACGCATTTACTTAAATAATAAGGTAGCAATAAATAACATAGCAAAAACAATGACAAAATCGTAAATTTCAAGAAATGCTAGGAAAAAACAGATACAGATAAGAAAAAATTTGAAATTCTGAACAAAATAATTGAAGCTAAAGTAATAAAAATATATTAAATTCTATAGTCTTATAGAATATACTTCACTTTAATCACTTATATTTATAAAGCAATTGGCTGTATATTAGGGGAAAAGCAGAAATAGTACAGACTACATTCTTGATGCACACAGGAATACATACAAGACATAAAAAATAATAACAAAAATCAGGGAGAAAATCTACAACCACCTTGAAATTTGCAATTTTCTTCCCATAAATGTCAAAGATCAAACAAGTAATCAAAATTATAATTGCAAAGTATTTAGAAATTATTATAATTAAAACAATAAATATTAGAAATTAAAAGCAGAGAAAAATATATAGCCTTGCATATCTATATAACTAGTAGGAAAGAATAAAAACAAAAAAATTTAGCTACTCAAGACCAAAAGTTAGAAAATAATAACAAAATAAACCTAAAAAAGGGAAGAAAATAATAAAAGCAAAATTAATTAGGAAACAGAAAGTGGGTAAATAGATTGAAAATAAGCAACTAAGGGCAGATTAGTAACTATAAGTAACTTGCTAATGAACCTAGTCACCAAAAGGAGAAAACAGAATATTAAAATTTGAAAATGAAGAGTAACCAAAAACAGAGAGGAACCTGAAACTACCCAAAGAAAGTATGTTGCACACTACAAATAAATTGGAAATTTTTCCTAATATTGAGGATTGTATTGAAAAACAGAATTCCCAGGATTGACCCCAGTCACAGAATGTAACACATATTTACACATTCGCTTCCTAGAAGCAATCACAAGAAATTGATACCACTTACCGCTTTGGGAAGGAAACTTGGCAGGGAAAGGAGCGAAGTTCCTTTTTAGTTTTATTCCTTTCTGAACTGTCTGTATGTCCAAATTTGATTTTTTTAAAATATAGGCTTATTGGGAAATTAGATTATATATTTATTTGTAGTAAGGCAAATGGAAAAAAAATAAAGAATAGTGGCTCATGCCTGTAATTCCAGCACTTTGGGAGGCCAAGGCGGGCAGATCACAAGGTCGGGAGATCGAGACCAACCTGGCTAACACAGTGAAACCCTATCTCTACTAAAAATACAAAAAAAAAAAAAATTAGCCGGGTGTGGTGGTGGGCGCCTGTAGTCCCAGCTACTTGGGAAGCTGAGGCAGGAGAATCGCTTGAATCCAGGAGGCAGAGGTTGCCATGAGCCGAGATTGTGCCACTGCACTCCAGCCTGGGCGACAGAGTGAGACTCCGCCTCAAAATAAATAAATAAATAAATAAATAAATAAATAAATAAATAAATAAATAAATAAAAATGAAGAATAAAGGGCACAATCATGAGTAGAACACAAAGGCTGATGATCAAGGAGTCAAGCCAGAGTGATGATGGGTGGAGATTGGAAGAAACAGACCCAGAGACCTTGTGCTGGGCAACATCTGTTTCTACACTTGCCTGGCTACCTGACGTACTATCACTCATAGTTCTAAAGTATACCATGTTGGTATATTTATTAGTTTTTCAATATTTATTTAGATTTATTTTGGAAAAATATCCAATATATCCAGCTATTTAACAAAATTGAGGATTAAAACTATTTGATTTGGTGCTATTTTTGGACATGCATATTACACCAACAGAATAGCTGCTGATGCAAACCTGTTTGTTCCCTCTAGACAAGGAGATTAGAAACGGTAGGTAGATTCCTCCTTAAGAAAGAAGCAAATAACTTGAAATACAATTTGTTTTGTTTCTTGTATTTGAAAGTGCAGTTTACACAAGCCAAATAGACACCATATGGCCTTCAGTAATTTGACATTGAAGAGCAATGCATGATTTGTATTCTATTTCCAGCTACTGCACAGTGAATGTGCTGTGATACCATGTTTTTAAATTCCTCTCTGCCTTTGCCCTTGCTGTCTCTTAGAGGCAGGACATTTATTTATTCACTTATTCATTTCTTCTCTTTTTTATCCAGTGAAGTCTAAAAGAGATTGAAACTAAAAATAAATAAATAAAAAAGTTCAAACTAAAATTTCTCCTTTTTAGTGACCTCACTGAAGCTGTGTCATTATCTGGGGTAAATACCCAAGGTTTGTCTCTCCGCCAAGAAGATTAAGGACATGGACACACAGGGCAAGGGAGTTTAGGAGTGGAGGTTTACTAGCTAAAAGAAAGAGAAAGGAGAATAGCTCTCTCTCTCGTGAGAGAGGGGCTCCCGAAAGGGAAAAACCAGCCTGTGGCATACTGCACCAGATTTTATAGGCAGGCTTCAGGAGGCAGTGTCTGATTTACTAGGGCCCACAGATTGGTTGGACCAGATGTGATGTTTATATAGCGCACAGGGAAGGCTGGCCACCCCACCCTAATCTTATTATGCAAATGGGTTTTTCACTTGGCCAGGGCCAACTTGTCTGCTCCTTACTGTACACGTAGCTGGCAAAAGAAGGGAACATGGAGTCGCCATTTTGCACATGCCTAGTCCCAGATAGCCTTTTCCTCTTGGCACAACTGCTGGCATTCACCTGTGCAAGCTTCCAGCTTTCTTGTCTATGTCTGCAGCTCTATTTTACAGGCTGCTCTTTGTTAGAAAAGAAAATGATTTGGGGGCTGCTTTTCATTAAAAGGAAAACTTTACCAAGGACTCTCGTACCCTCACTATCTGCCTAAATAATTTTTTCTTAACTCCTATGTCATCACCACCTCTGTGAGTTAATATTGTTTTGTTCATACCCCTAAGTATAGCACTATTGTGTATTGTGATGGTATATATAGCCCTGACTCCCCCACTAAACCCCAAGCTTCACAAGGTCAGGGCCATGTTTCATTGTTTTAGAAATCTGTAACACCTAGCATGTCATAGATTATTTTTAAATGTTAAGAGAATTGCATTAAAAATTAAATACTTAAATATTTTTAGATCAAAGCATCAAGGTTAATATCTTTGTAAAGGGAATAATGTTCTATTATGAGTGGTAATAAGATTTTCCCATTAAGTTTGATTGAAGAACCCCAGTTTCACAATGCAGAGTACTAACCACTATACGATCACAGCTGAAGGAAGCCAGTTTCAAATACCACAGGTCATCCATCATTTTATCTAGCACATGGATATATATGACCACATTCGGGTTCCCAATAAGTAATGAGAGAAACAGAAGCATTTAATGTTGCCAAAAAAAAGAATCATAACATGGCCATGCTGATCTGTTTGTCTGTCATGATAACTAATGCAGCTTTTTTTGATAACCAATAGAAATAATGAATTCCCTACAAGTACATAGTACTTACAATAATATTTTAATAACCTACTTCAACATGAATTTTCAGTCCTCTTGGAAGGCTAACAAAATGATCCCCTCCTCCCCAAAATTGCATCATGTATTTGTTCATTTAACTTTTCAATCAATATTCATTTATCAGGTGCATGTCCATTTAGTAGACACTATGCTAGAGACACTTATACAGCATAGGCGAGTGTTTTAAAAAGTAAAAATACTTTATGCATTCATCTCTTCCTCACTGCACTGCCTTGACCCCACACAAGAAAGTGTGTAGCAGTTTCTCTTGGGTTTTGCTTACAGCTTCTCCAACAGATAAGAATATTTTATTTCATTTAATTTCATTTTAAATTTATTACTTCATGAAAGTGAGATAAAATTTGCCTAATTATCATAAGAAATATGGAAATGAATACGGGACATTTTCTAAGCACATGCATAGCACAGTGAACTCACTGCTTCCACTCTGTGTTTCTCAGTGGTGGAGGAATTAGTGAGTCCATCAGTGCCTGCCATGGGGAGGGTGAGGGGCAGGGTTCAGGCCTCACATTTATAGCAGGCCTCATCCTGTTCCAGATGTAATCGCCACATACTTTCACATGCAGCCACAGTGGGAAGTTGCAGGGTTGAAAGATAATACCACTTGAATCCTTGAAAATAAACACTAAAAATACATCCAAATGTTTAACCCAGTTTGGTCATTTTTTCATTCTGTTTTCTTCATTTTGGTTACTTCTTAATTTTGTTTAAGGCTCTCACTAAATTATTTGAATCATGATCCTGGCTCAGTATTCTTATTTTCTCATTTTTCTCAGTGCCTTATTTCCTAAAACCTTAAAAGTCAAAGATCCCTGGAGGGACAGGTGGGGGTGAGGGGAGAAAGACAATATATAGAGCTCTCAAATATGTCTTTCAAAAGAGTGCCATAAAAAGCTTTTAAGATGGTATTTATTTACTTACAATTTATGCCCCTCAAATCAAAGAAAACACAGTATGGTGTCTCTTCCCTCAATGTTATTGCCCCCCTCCCTTCCAAATGGCATTAATTTAAAATGAAAAAATAGGGTAGAATTCCGTGTTCTTCCTTCTTCCCAACTTGGCACCATAATACGCACGCTCCTCCTCCCCACCAAATTCATGCCTTTTATCAATCTCATTGGCATAATTACAAGGAGAAAATTTCATTTTAATTGTATTCATTTTATTTTAGAAAGGAGACTGAAACTCTGGAGGATTTATAAAAAATATTTACAAAGCTATGAAGTATGTGCTTAAGTAAACTAATTTCACCGGTTCTCTTTATACTTTTTAAAATTTGAAAGTAGGGAAAATTTAAAAATAAAAACATGCTATATTCTCACATTAAAAAAAAATCCTATGAAAGGGAGAACTCAAAAATTTGTTCTCTAATCCTTTGCCCTTGAGGTCACCGCTGTTCAGAGCTTGATATTTGTTCTTTCCAAGTTTTTCTTAGACTTATTGTGAAATATGTAAGTGCTTATCTTGTAAAAATAGTATTGAGCACAGGGCTTATCCTTCCTTGTCTGGTACCTGGGGAGATTTGGGCAGGTGGAGATACTGGTGTATGAGGAGGACCTGATAAGGAAGTGGTTGGGCTCTGAATTGGTTGGTTTGCATTTGAAAGTTTTGCTAGCAGGAGAGTTGTTGACTTACTATTTCTAGGAATTAGTGAACCTTGTGAGGCAGGAGCAAGGCCCTGGATGTCAAGCCTTTCAGAATACAGAAAATCAAAAGACACAAGGCTAATATAACTTCATACTGCTTTTTTAATTTAAAGAAACCCAGAGAATTTGCTTAAGTGTTTCAAGCTAACAAACATTTTATTCGTGTGGCATAAATAATACATGAACAGACTTTTATGAGTAATATAACATCTGCAGCTCTTAGAAAATAAAACATAGTTAATTAGGGATGGCAGGAATTATGTAATCATTACTTTTATGTTTTGTTCTTTCTAGGTCATTCAAACTGTCATCTACACATGAATAACAATGAAATTCTCATAAAGAAGCAGAAATACCCAGGAGGCATGAAGAGTCATCATGCTTCAAAAGTACATGTATTAGGACTTCACGACCTCAGGAAAAGTAGACTCCGTAACTCTTAAAAGCTCAATCTTGGAGAGGAGAAACATGCTGTTTGATGACATAGCACAGAAACTTGTTGAAATATCCTTGGAGCTTGAGATGTCGAGAGCGAGCCATCAAAATGTTCTCAAGAATTAAATTGAAAAATGTTGCTTCAAAATGTCTTAGCCAACCAAATACAAACATTTTTGTCATTGTGACAAAAAAAAAGCTCACCAATTGTCTTTGCTAGTCTCAGCACAGCCCAAGAGGAGCATCCTTCATGAGCCAACTGAAAAACAGTGTGTAGTCTATGCTTCTGACCAGATGGGCTTCTCTTGTCACCATAACATTATGTATTAGGACTTCATGTATTATGTATTATGTCAACACTTTATTCATTATGCTGATCATACTCTGTATTTCACTTGCTCTGGTTATTTGTAAAGCTTTTCCTATTTCATCATTAAATTATCCTTGTATTTTAGCAACTGCATTTTAGTCACTCTATATTCTTTATAGTGCCTGCCCAAATGACATATTAATAAGCATTTTTTCTGAATCAATAACCAACCCCCAAAAAATCTGCAGCCATGGTTGTAAATACCGTACATTCCAAAGAAAAGTGGAAATGAATGAAGGACCAATTTTGAGGAAGAATTAGGGTTCTCAAAAATTCAACAATTACAATCAGTAAGTTTTTTAAAATTTAACAAATTCAACAAGTATGTCAACAAGTATTCAACAAGTTAGAGTTATAAACATTTGTTCAAAATTTTACACGTGGTTAATACCTTCAGAGCAGTTAGCAGCAAGATTCTCATTTTTAAATCTTTACCCCTTTGTTCATTTTAAGGCAAGATGGAGACCATGTTGATGTCAGAGCAATTGGTCCAGGGTTGTGTGAGGAGCCACTAGGAAGGGAGAAACAGGGAAATGTGGACCCAAACAGCATAGTGTTCCCCAGAAACTTGGGTTGGACACAAGAGTGTACATGCAGGAAAAAGTAAAATCAAGAAGATGTGTTAATCTAAACAATGCTGTGAGCAAATGAGACACAGGTCTCCAGGGGACACTCTGAGAAACTACACAGAATACACTTCAAAATTGTCCACCAGAAAGACAAATGAGAGAAGGGATGATCCATTGACTGTCTTCTACCATTGGTCATGTTGGCCGAAAGGCTGTTCACGACCGTGGACTTCAAAGATTGCACCTGCTTCAGAATGGCTGAGTAGTTTGCAGAAGGCATCTTAACAGATGGTAACAGAGAAGCAAGAGATAAGTGCTGCAGCTGATGCAAGGTGCTGGCAGTGACACTATCACAAAGCTGGTTGCTGTAAAAATGTGGCCAAGAGGATGTGAGCTACAACGCAAGAGTGGTTCGACATCATTTCTCAGAAGCACATGAGTCTGATGCAAATCTATTGTTCTTGAAATAATGAGCACAGGACCATATTTGTCCCTTCTGGACAATAGTCAGAGAAAGGAGCACCCACAGAGAGAAAAGATCTGGTAATACTAGTTAGGGAGTGGAAGAAGCCAGGTGATATAGTTTGGCTGTGTCCCCACACAAAATCTCATTGTGAATTGTAATCTGAATTGTAATTCCCATGTGTTAGAGCTGCGACCTGGTGGGAGGTAATTTAATCATGGGGGTCGTTACCCTCATGCTGTTCTTATGATAGTGAGTTCTCACGGGATCTGATGGTTTTATAACAGGCTTTTCCCCCTTTTGCGTGGCACTTCTCCTTGCTACTGCCATGTGAACAAGGGCGTGTTTGCTTCCCCTTCTGTCATGATTGTAAGTTTCCTGAGGCCTACCCAGCCATGTTGAACTGTGAGTCAACTAAACCTCTTTACTTTATAAATTACTCAGTCTCGGGTATGTCCTCATAGCAGAGTGAGAACAGACTAATATACCAGGGCACAGAAGAAGCCTAAGACTAAACTGCACCTCTCTGTGCTTTAAACACAGACCAGCACCTGGATGAGTGTTTTTCTTTTTCTTCTGTGCATATTTTTTGTATTTGGCTGCTTTTTAACTTGCCAGCTCTGACAGAACAATGCCATCTCTGAGACACTTTTTATCTACACATAAATTAAGTTACTTTATTGCTTTAGTTTCTCTGAGTTTTGTGCATTTTAGGGAGAGCTCTCAGTGTTTCCTGCTTACAGTCTTAGTTTAGGCTCCTCCAAAAGCCAACCCTGAGAAAATGATGTAGATACATGTATTTTATTTTATTTTTTAAGAGACAGGAGTCTTGCTATGTTGCCCAGGCTGGACTAGAACTCCTGGGTTCAAGTGATCTTCTCACCTCAACCTCCTGTGTAGTTGGGACTACAGATGCATGTCACCATGCCCCAGGTAGTTTGACAGGTGATCCCAGGAAGTGCAACAAGGGAGTGAGGAGTGAAGTAGAAAAGGGAAGACAGCCAATGAAAGGTGTGTGCACAAGGGAGCAGGGAGCAGGTAACCGCAATCTCAAGCTTTCTGAGAGTGTGGCCCAAAGGGTGATAGGGAATCTGGGCTGTTTATGCACCAGTTCCAGTTTCTCACTGGTTGAAAATTGCTGCTGGGAAATTAAACTCATTACACTTCTAGGCAGAGCAAACTCCTGTACTGCCAAGAAAGCCCCACAGGCAGAGAAGCAAGCAGAGAGGCGTGGATAGTTGAGGTAGAAAGACATGGGTGTGTCGCGCAGCTGCAGTGAATCCAGACATTTGGCTGACGGACATAGATTGGGGCATCAGTAGCTTCTACAATACATTCTGAGATTATTTTGCAAAGGACAAAAATCCTTGAGCATGGAGAAAAACAATAGCAACAGTCTTCTTCTAGCATCTAGAAGGAAAGATGGTAAGTTAATTAGTAAAGGGTTAGAGGCAGTTAAAATGAACTCTGAAACTGAGACTATTTGTTAAACTTTGCAGACCAAAACTTTAAACTGGAATTGGATCACTTTAATGAAAATCCCCTTTGCTATTGCTGCAGAACAAATGAGGAAAGAAAAGAAACCAACATGTTTATTGCTTTCACCTATAAACCAAGAACCTCACTGAACTATGTTAAGTAACAACTGTTTGGCTCTGTTTCTGTGAAGACTACATGGGGACTGATGGATATTTTTAAATTTTCTCTTACTAGTCATTGCTCTGGTTCATTACTAAGATGGAGCCACTCAAATAATGAGTGCTTTCTGATAGAAAAGCTGGATGACAAGATATGAAAATAGGTCTTAAACACAGTGGATTTCACCAGGGCTAGAAGCATGGGCAGAGCCGAAAGAGTCCAGAAAGGAAATACTCTCAGTGGTATCATAGATTTTAAAAATTCACCCCAATTCTTCATTTCCTCTTAATTAAGTTATAAATTCATACTACTGCCTAGTGGACTGAGTGAACTGCCCCACCCCTTGATTCTAGATTTGGCCATGTAACTTGCTTTGGAAAAGAAGTTGTTAGCAGACCTGGCATAACCTGTATGCTGGCTTATCTTCTTGGCAATTGTGATCATCCATGAGACGAACATGTCCCATGGGCTGCTATGTCTTCTCCTTCAGCCTAGGCCCTGGAAGGAAACGTGGAGCAAACTTGAACCCATCATAGCCAAGAGCTTCAGTCTTGGAACATAAATACGGAAATAGAGCTGCCCAATCAAGCATATTCTAAATGAGTCAATAGCAGTCAACTCAAGAATCCAAGCATGACAGCAGATGCTTACTTCTGTGACCACTAAATTTGTGGGTGAATCTATGAGGTAACATTATAGCGGCAGTAGTTGACTGATATAAGTGGTAGATTATTTTTTTTCTTGCCTGTAGTTAGGGTGATAATTATAACAGGGGAATAAAGACTTTTGTTAAGACCAAAGTTTTACTGAGGAAACCCAAAAACATGAAATTATTAGGAAAGAGCCAATGGGAAGGGCTCCCTGGAGGGAATCTGTAGAGGATTCTGGGTCAAGTGACTGCTGTCCCATTGACAAAATTCTGCCTCCTCTCCAGTGATTGTGGATGATCTGAGTAGATGAAGACAATGAGGCTCTCCAAAATAATGTTCACCTCTTTTCATTATTTTTTGTTTTTGATAAACATTACAGAACGTTTGGAAAGAGTTAACACTCAGGTTTTGAAAAGGTGAGCTTTCCTGAGTATATAGGGGAGGTTCTCAAATGAAAATATATTTTAATACCTTTTAAAATATTTAAACAAATCAGAGCTCCTTTATGCCGATACATCTCTGAAGAAAAGCTTATTCCAAATAGTTGTGCTACGAAGATAATGTATACATAATATTATACTGACCTTTTGGACACAGAAGGATATACCTTCAAATCTTTTCGAGTACAATAGAAAACTATTTAAATAATAAAGATTTAGGAGAGTCATACAAGTGTTTTTGAATGTTTGCTTATTGACTTTAAATATACTTCAAATTAGAAAATCAACATTATTATTATTATTATTATTTTGAGACAGAGTCTCACTCTGTCGCCCAGGCTGGAGTGCAGTGGCGTGATCTCGGCTCACTGCAACCTCCGCCACCCGGGTTCCAGCAATTTTTGTGCCTCCGCCTTCCAAGGAGCTGGGACTACAGGTACCCACCACCATGCCTGGCTAACTTTTTTGTATTTTTAATGGAGATGGGGTTTCGCCATGTTAGCCAGGCTGGTCTCAAACTCCTGACCTCAGGTGATCCGCCCACCTTGGGCCCCCAAAGTGCTGGGATTACAGGCATGAGCCACCATGCCCAGCTTAGAAAATCAACATTATTGAAGAACTTGAGATGAAAGTCAAAGATCTAGTCTTTGCACCGCCATATTCCCTAATTTGACAGCAAGCCTTACTGGTTTGTGGGGAGGGATTTCTATAAAAATTTTAACGAATAAATAATCCCTTTAACATTTATAATCTATTCCAGAACATTAAAAAGATGAAAACCTTCCTAAATAATTACATGTGGCTTGACGAATGCTAATATTATGCCCAATAAAGAGAGCACCAGTAAAGAGAATAGACATTAAGCTCGATGCAAATAAAAATAATGAATACAATATTTTCAAATTTACTGCAGCAACATCTTAAAGTATTAACAATGCATGGCGATCAAGGAAGGTTTATTTTAGGAATGCAAGAATGTTGTAGTAATAGGAAACGCATGCATGTTTAAAGCACTGGATTAATAGAATAAATGAGCAGAACATATACTATCTCAACAGTCTTTGGAAAAGTATTTGACAGACTATATTAGCCACCCCTGTCTAAAAAATTAAAAACTCTCAGGGAGTTGGGAAAAAGAAGACATTTCCTAAATTTGACAGATTGCCTTCAAAAAAACTGTCAAATACCAGTGATAAAATGTTAGACTTATTCTCATTAAAATCACAGGCAAGGCAATAATTCCACAAATCCCCATTATTCAAAATACTCCTGAGGGTCCTATAAAAAGAGACCAAAACATTGATAAATACTAGAAAAAAATAAATCCTTTCACATTAAAATTTAAAATAATGAAATAAAAACACATTAAATAAATAGATTTGCAAGATGTCTAGGGATAGCAAAACATACAAAAACCATCATTTCAATATAGTAACAATGAGCCATCAATAAAAAGATCCCATTCAAAATACAGCAAAAGCATAATATCTGTTTCCCCATAAAACCTTAAAGTTACTAAAAACTCATATTTAAAGTCAGAAAAATAAACCTAAACATCAGAAAGTGAGTAACATGGCTTGAAATGGGAAGCCTCAAATTTATAAGTTTTAAATTTTTTCTTAATCTATTCAGCGTTATCCCTATTAAAACTCTAAGGGTAATTTTAAATGAAGTTATTCCAGTTGATTCAAAATGCTATCTCTAAGAGTACATGCATAAGAACAGCTGGAAATATTATAATAAAGATAGCATTCATATGCGTAGAAAAGGAATAAATAAATGGTATTTAAATATGTGGTGCATACCATTATTATTCCATTTACACTTTACACAGTTGAGGAAACTGAAATATAGGGAAGTTAAATAGCCTATCAAAGGTCACACAGCTGCCAAGTGGTGAAACCAAGATGCAAACTCGGAGCCAGTGCTCCTCACTTACTTACCAGCGTGCTATTCTGCCTCTGGCAAAAATATGCATGTGTGTATACAAATATTGGACAAAAAGTTGACATCCGTCATACGCAAAGTTCCCATCAATCAATATTAAAAACAAACAAGTCAATAGAAATAAAAATGGGAATAGTGTCTATAAGCAATTTTCAAAAGAATAAATAGTAAATGTATGAAAAAAATGTTCAAACTCACAATTGGGGAAATGCAACTTAAAAATAACAACAAACATTTATAAAGTTTACAAAAATTTTAAAAGAGCTCTGATATCCAGTGTTCAATGAGGAAGTAGGAAAATAGCTTTCTACTCCACAATGTTGGAAATCAATTTGGCATTACTAGTCAAATTAAAAATCAACTTTAACTTAGCCATTAGCCTACTAAAATACTCACATATGTGCAAAAATACGTGTAAAAATGATTGTTATTTCTAAAAGTGACCGATGGAAATAACCTCAATCAATAGAATGGACTGGTATGCAGTCACAAAATTAAATAAATATTGACATGGAAAAAATGTCAATTTGAAGTTGTTAAGTTTTTTAAAAGCACATGGAAAAAAATTGCATACAATGTGATCCTGTCTTATATTTTATGTATGTGGATGTGTGCACATGTGTGTATCCACTTCTAAATGCATTGTAAAAGTTCTCTATAAATACCAAAGTATTCATTATACTACCCTCAGTTATTTTTATATGTGTGTGTTTGTGTGTATGTGTGTATATATATATATATGCTTATTATACCAAAATATTATCCACAGAGAAGAGAAATTAGAAAAGAGAAAAGGTTTCAATGAAGAATGAAGATGGACTTTTACTTTTACTCTATATATTTCTATAATTTTTGAATTTTTAAAATAACTATATATTGTATAATTTATAAAACGAAAATAAATCAACAAAAATTGTTTCCACAAATGAAAAAAGTTCATAAAACAAAAATACTATGTTTGATTAATATTTAACTGTCAAATTACCATTTATAGATTCTGGTTACTACCATAATCAATTAAAATCTTGCCACTCAAAGTGACGTCCTTGGACCAGCAGCAACAGCATTACCTGGGGGCTACTTAGAAATGCAGAATGGCAGGCCCCACCTCAGACCAGCAGAATTTGAAATTTAATAAGATCTCCAGGTGATTCTTATGCACATTCAAGTTTGTGAAACATTCCTCTAAGATTTTAAGCATTTTGTCTTCTGCTTCAATCACTGACAAAGAAACTGCTTAAAAAGTAAAATACCTCATTGAATTTATTTTTTAATATATAAAAAAATACTGGAAAGTGTCTTCAAATATCAAAGATAATATGTGGAGATAATCCTTTCACAATATTAAACAATATTTTTAAATGTTCAAATGTTAAACACAAAATTAGAATTTTTCCATAACTTGGGAAGCAGGACAACTGAGTAAAAAAAAAAAAAAAAAAATTACATATCTTAAAAAGGGCAGGGTGATCTTTGTAGATTGTAATTTTCCCTCTTGCATCTAAAAATCAATGTGTTTCTGCTTTCTGAATGAAAAGCCAACCAAGCCCCAGATGTCTGGATTTCCCCATCCCCAGGTGAACTTACACAGTGCATCAAGAAACAATATGGAGAAGTAGACACATGGTTCATACTCCATTACCAGACACTTTACAGAAGGTTCAGCTTCCTGCTTTCACACAAAAATCAAATTTATCCCCTTCACACCTTCACAACCTCTCACATAAATCTCACCCAAATTCCTACTTAGCATTCCCCAAAGGAAGACGCTCCCTGGACCAGGTGTGACTTCACCTCTAATTATTCTTTACTACATCTGCATGTGATTTTCCTCATTATACTGCGATTACATGAGGAAAGGGCCTCTGTTGCCTGAGCAACCAGAACCAGCACGTGCACATGCCTACTGACTGCAACCCTACTTGTAGTTTTTCTATTATGCGCTTGGGTCCTCTCACTTTTATGGTCAAAAGAATGCAATTCTTTCCCCGGTTCTGCCCTTTTTCTTCTTTTGTGGCCCTGTCTACAGTGTCTGGCTGATTTGTCTAATTTCTCTTGAATGTATTGCCTCAAATTCTCTTGTTTCCATCAGCTTAGACTGATGCTTTCCATCCTCCTAATCAGACTCTCCCTTTGAATTGCTCCTCTGCTGAAGACTGCCGCCCCAATATTTTGCTTACCTTTTACATGTGTCTCTCTACAATATTATATTCACCATAAAAAAAGATTCAATTTGCAAAGATTCCTTGTCTAGCCTTATTTCCTTCCTTTTTCCTCTTGCTGTAGTTATTTTGCTACTGAATTACAAGGCTAATAGAAAAATTATGACCTCTATTATTATAATTCCTGGTAGTAAGTCACATAAAAATATTATATGCACAATCTCTTTTTTTAAAGTGGTGGTTCTTAACTGTGGCTGGATGTTGGAATATTATGGGTAGCTCTAATAAATACTGATGCTTGGGTTCCATCCCCAGAGGTTCTGATGTAATTAGTCTGCGGTGCTGCCTGGGCAGGGAATTTTCAAAACCTCCCTGGATGATTCTAACGTGCAACCAAAGTTGGGAAGCATGAAGGCTGATAGCTTTTCAAGCTAGCCCTTTTCCATTTTGTTATTCCTTGGCATTTATGATGGTAAATTACAAATGCACCCTATCCTTAAGGGTCTTATGCCAGTGTTGGCCTATTTGCCCTCCAAACCATTATTCTTTCCTTGCTGTGGGTAGTGCATTTCAGGGGGTAAATATCCATAGGCTCTTTCCCAGGCTCACGAGATAGCTGGTTCCAAAAGAGCTTCACCCAATACCCAGTGGGAGGCTCTTCCAGGAACCTGGAGGGTGGGAGAAAGGGTGGCTCTTCCCCTCTCTGTGCAGTGCCTCTAGCTGTGTCCTCCTGTGTCTCCAGCTCCTGCCAGACAGACTCACTGCGGCTTCAATTTCTTAGGCATAACCTGGCCCACAGACTTCCTTAACACAGCACTTTCCTTTGATTTCCAATTAAGGGCTATTAGTAGTTTCCTACTGTATGTAAACTCTAGGGTATCTCACCACTCCATTTGGCAACTAACTCAGTTCCTCCATCACCTATATGACCAATTCCCAGTAAATTTTCCTCTGTGTAAATACCTTAGAATTCTTTCGTTTTCATGGTAAGGCCCTGCTTGACACAGTTTTCAGCCTACTGTCTAGTTTCCCAGATGTTGTATATCTCTGATGTTCCCTCCACTAGAGCCCACTCTGATCCTCATGAATCAGATACCACCTTAATGACACCAGGTCTATGTCACATTGCCAGATACATACATCGCACATTGACCCAAGATCTGTTGTTCAGAGTTACTGCCTTAACAGTGGAGATATAAGAGAAACTTCCCCTTCCAGAAAAATTACATATCACTAATATTATGTTCAGAAGTAGAGTGATATATCCCTCACCAGAGCTTGGAATGGGTTCTCTAAGGCCTTTTTAATCCCAAGGAGCATCAATATCACCCCAGAGCTTTCAGAAAACCAGAATCCTGAGCCCCACTCTAGATATGCATTTTTAAAAATTGACATATAAGCTAATTCATACTCTATAAGATTTATCTACAGTTATGCATTGCTAAACAACAGGGATATTGTATTAGTCCATTCTCACACTGCTAATAAAGACATATCAGAGACTGCGTAATTTATAAAGGAAAGAGGTTTAATTGACTCACAGTTTCGCATGGCTGGGGAGGCCTCAGGAAACTTACAATCCCGGTGGAAAGGGAAGCAAACACGCCCTTCTTCACATGGTGGCAGGAGCAAGAATGAGAGCCGAGAGAAGGGGGAAGCCACTTGTAATAAAATCATCAGATCTCATGAGAATTCACTCCCTGTCACAAGAACAGAATAGGGGAAACCACCCCCATGATTCAATTATCTTCACCTGGTCCCACCTTTGACATGTGGGGATTATTACAATTCAACATGAGATTTTGGGTGGGGACACAGCCAAACCGTATCAGATACATACACAAACCTGGATGGCATAGCCTATATACCTAGGCTATAAGCCTATTGCCTTTAAGCTACAAACCTGTACAACATGTTACTATACTCTTTACCGTATACTGTAGGCAATTATAACACAATGGTAAGTATTAGTGAATCTAAATATAGAAAAGATACAGTAAAAAGATGGTATAAAAAACAAAACATGGTACACTTATAAAGGGCACTTACTATGAATGAAGCTTGCAGGACTGGAAGTTTGTCTGAGTGAGTAAACAAGAGAGTGGTGAGTGAATGTGAAGGCCTACAACATTCCTGTATATATACCACTGTAGACTTTATAAACACTGAACACCAAGGCTACACTGAACTTATGAAAAATGTTTTTGTTTCTTTAATAATAAATTAACCTTAACTTAGTGTAAACTTTATATATTTTAGTTTTTTAAAACTTTTTGACTCTGTCATAATAACACTTAGCTTAAAACAAACACATCATACAAAAATATTTTCTTTATACCCTTATTCTATAAGCTTTCTTCTATTTTTAAAATTCATGTAAATTTCATAGAAATATTATTTTAATTGATAAAAGCCAAGTATTATTTCACCTATATGAAATTTACATGAATGTATATAAAATGTTCAGAATAGGCAAATCCATAGAGACAGGAGATTGGTGGTTGCCTAGGGATTAGGGAAGGAGCAAATGAGGAGTGACTGCTAATGGGTCCAGGATTTCTTTTTTGGAGTGATGAAAATATTCTGGAATTAAGTATAATGATGATCATACAATACGGTGAATATACAAGAAACTCCACTACATCGTACACTTTAAATACAGTCATAAGTTGCATAACAAAGTTTTGCTCAATGACAGACTGTATACACAATGCATTTGTTTAATTTGTTTCATTGTTTCCTAAAACCACATTGCAAGTTAAGAGAATATATTGTCATGACTATAAATGCTTTATTGAATTTGATCGGTTCCTGTAATTATGTATGAAAAACGAGACTTCACAGCCTTTATTCAGAATCATACTTTATATTGCTTATGTCTGACTCTGTAACAGTTCATAAAATTATATAGCATGTTTGGATATGATGAAAATTTAGCATTATCTAACATAAAGCCAAAAGAGAGAGCTGTTGGAGAAATCTAGTCCAATTCTTTTATTATTCAGTTGAAGTAATTGTAAGTTACAAATATTAAGTGGTTTGTCCAAAATCAGAAAGGTAATTGGTGTCAGATCTGGAACCAGAAAGTAGAACAGGGTTTAGGAAACATATTCATTATAAGGTTTAACTGTTGTAATTATTGCTATTATTGAAAAAAGAAAAAATTGCATTAAAATGAAATGGATAATTGACAATTATCGAAATAATTGTTTCAAATGACTCACTTATCTACATAATTCAGACAAAAGTCAGCATTGTAGTTTCCTCCTAATTAAATAGATATTTAATACTAGTTTTCCACTGCATGAAAATTAAAACAGAAAAGCCTTTAGAATCTTATTGCTTCCTCTTGTTTAAAAACATTTAATTCATTGCATTTAGTATTTCTATGATTTATTCATGTTGAGGCATGTATCAGTACTTTAATCCTTTTTATAGCTAATATTCTATTTTATGGATATACCACATTTTGTTTGTTTATTCATTAATTGATGGGCATTTGGGTTGTTTCCCTTTTTGACTATTATGAATAATGCTGCTATGAACACTCATATAGAAGTTTCTGTGTGAACATATGTTTTCAATTTTCTTGGGTATATATATACCTGGGGGTGGGAATTGCTAGATAATATGATAGCTCTATGTTTAAATTTTTGAGAAACTGCAAGACTGTTTTCCAAAACGGGTGCACTATTATACATTCCCATCAGTGATGTCTAAGGGTTCCATCCACATCCTCACCAACACCTGGTATTGTCCATGTTTTTGATTCTAGCCATCCTCATGAGTATGAAGTAATATTTCAATGTAACTCTGACTTGCATTTCCCTCATGACTAATAATGTTGAGATTTTTTTTCATGTGTTATTGGTCATTTATATGTTTCTTTGGATAAGTATTCAACTCTTTTATTTTTTAATTGAGTCACTTGTCTTTTATTGATGAGTTGTAAGAGTCCTTTATATATTCTGGATACTATAACTTTATCAGATATATGATTTGCGAATATTTTCTCCCAATCTGTGGGTTTTTACTTCTTGATAGTATTCTTTATAACACAAAAGTTTTTTTTAATGATGTCCTATTTATCTATTTTCTCTTTGGTTACTTGTATTTAGGTTTTACATTTAAGAGGTATTATGCCTAATCCAAGGTCACAAAGACTTACTGCTATGTTTTTGGCTAAGAATTTTATAATTTTACCTTTTATATTTAGGTCTTTGGTCCATTTTGAGTTAATTTTTTTGTATAAGATGTGAGGTAGAGGTCCCACTTTATTATTTTGCATGTAGATATCCAGTTGTCCCTGTATCATTTACTGAAAAGACTCTTCTTTTCCCCATTAGATGGTCTTGAAACGTTGTTAAAATTCAACTGACCATAGGTGTATTGGTTTATTTCTGTACTCTTAGTAGATTCCATTGACCTATATCTCTATCCTTATGCCAGTACCACAGTTTTGTTTACTACAGCTTTGTAGTAAATTTTGAACTCTAAAGTGTTAGTTCTCTAACTTTGTTTGTTTTTCAAGAGTGTTTTGACTCTTCTTACTGCATCCCTTGCATTTCCATATGGACTTTATAATCAGCCATGTCAACTTCTGCAAGAAAGACAGCTAGGATTTTGATAAGGATTGTGTTGAATCTGTAGTCCAATTTTGGGAATACTACCATGTTAACATCGTCTTCCCATCCATGCACGTGCAATAGCTTACCATTTATTTGGTCTTCCTCAATTTCTGTCAACAATGATTTGTAGTTTTCAGTTGCAAGTCTTGCACTTCTTTTGTTAAACTTTTTCCAAATATTTATTCTTCTTAATTACATAATTCTCATAATTAATAAAATTCTGAAATTTTCTTAATTTCATTTTTGTGGCCATGCACTTTAAAACTTGCCTTTTAACAAGACTTCCAGATGATTCTTGTGAACATTAAGTTTGTGAAGTGCTTCTCTATTGACAAACTGAACTCACGTGACATTCCACACAGCACTGGCAAATTCTGTCCCGTAACTCCGCTAGCTCTCCAACAAGAAGTGACTTGACGCAGCCCAAGGTTACTACTTAACACAATGAATTAAATGTTTTTAAATAAGAGGAAGCAATAAGATTCTAAAGGCTTTTCTGTTTTAATTTTCATGCAATGGAAAACTGGTATTAAATATCTATTTAATTAGGAGGAAACTACAATGCTGACTTTTGTCTGAATTATGTAGATAAGTGATTCATTTGAAACAATTATTTTGATAATTGTCAATTATCCATTTCATTTTAATGCATTTTTTATTCTTTTTTCAAAAATAGCAACAATTACAACAGTTAAACCTTATAATGAATATGTTTCCTAAACCCTGTTCTACTTTCTGGTTCCAGATCTGACACCAATTACCTTTCTGATTTTGGACAAACCACTTAATATTTGTAACTTACAATTACTTCAACTGAATAATAAAAGAATTGGACTAGATTTCTCCAACATCTCTCTCTTTTGGCTTTATGTTAGATAATGCTAAATTTTCATCATATCCAAACATGCTATATAATTTTATGAACTGTTACAGAGTCAGACATAAGCAATATAAAGTATGATTCTGAATAAAGGCTGTGAAGTCTCGTTTTTCATACATAATTACAGGAACCGATCAAATTCAATAAAGCATTTATAGTCATGACAATATATTCTCTTAACTTGCAATGTGGTTTTAGGAAACAATGAAACAAATTAAACAAATGCATGATTCCTTAAATTTTGTTGACTCGGGATTTAGTTACATATAAGACTCTTTTCCCCCAGCCAGATTAACCCTGCTCTGTATATGTAATACGCATCTTCCCCCCAAATTTCACAATAATAATTTTATGAAAATCAGTATGTAAGTTGCTGCATTGGCATGAAAGGCTACTAATGTGATATCTTTCAAAGATAAAGTGAACGTTTTTGTAAAAAGCCACCACACTGGAGGCATTTAACAATATTCATCTTCCTATGGCATTACTACCCTAGATGTACTTTGCAATATTAATCAAGCCTTGTCTTACTTCAGGCTTCCTAGAAATAGAGCACAAGGCAGGGATTCTTTCTTGCTCGGTGATTTATTGAGGAAGTGCTCTCAGAAGAAATTGGTAAGATGCTAAGGAGAACAGCAAAGGACAGGAGAAGGGGGCTGAGCAGAGATGGGGATCTAACTGGAATCTGGCCTTTGCTGATTACCAGAGCAGCTCTGGGTGCGAATGGTGAAGTGCTGTTCTATTGACAAACTCCACTCAAGTGACATTCCATGCAGCACTGCCAAATTCTGTCCCATAACTCTGCTAGCTCTTCAACAAGAAGTAACTTGAGGCAGCACAGTTACAGAAAACAGCACAAGAACCAAGGATACTAAACAGTGACTTAAATGTTTTTAGATAAGAGGAAGCAATGAGATACTATAGGGTTTTAATTTCTGTGCAATGGAAAACTAGTATTAAATATTTATTAATTAGGAGGAAACGACAATGCTGACTTCTGTCTGCATTATAGACAAAATTGAGTTCTCCAACCATGAGGCAAGGTGCTGGCTTTTTGTACCCCTGCACTATTCATTTGATGGGTGAGTGCACTGTAACTTCCAGACGTCTCTTGGTAGGTGGGCCCCACTGGCCAAGGGCATTTCCCGGGAGAGTGAACGGCTGTGAGCTACTAGCAGTAGCAGTCACAGCAGCTGGGAGGAAACACACTGGTCAGGTAAAGGGCCAGCATCTACCAAGGTCCAGTTCCACAATTAGTGGAGAAATATTTAATAACATTATTTTTGAAAATAATTAGGCCATATGACTTTGACACTTTTTCTCTAGCAAAGTGACTAAAGAGAAGCAGGTTTTTAACTGGGTTTTTATTTCTGTTGTGTCTCTAGCCAAAGCCATGCTGATGTTTGATAGTTTTTTTTTTTCTTTTTTTAAGAGATGGGGTTTCACCATGTTGGCCATGCTGGTCGTGAACTCCTGACCTCAATGGCCTCCCAAACTGTTGGGATTACAGACGTGAGCCACCACGCCCAGCCAGAATTTTTTTTCCTAAAGAATAGAACAACATTATAAAATTTTAGGCATTAAGGACAAATTTTATTTTATGATTTTCATTTCGGTGAGTCACAAGATATTCAACACAAAATGAAACTTCACAAAATTTCACAAAATGAAAAATTCATTTCAGATTCAATATCCACCTCCATCATCCATATTCATTCTTCCAATGTCTCAGGCCAGAAATTTGGAGTATGTGGCTTCTCCACCTCACACAATTTGCCCTAACTTTAATATATACTCAGAAATTACTGGCTTTTCACTGTTTCTATGATTCCCATGTGTAATATACAATACTCACCATGCATACAATAATACAATAATTCTGTGTCACAACCACACCTAAATTGGTAAGTTTATAAGGTTATAAGCTGAGAGGTTTTGCTGATCTTGGCTGAGCTCAGCTGGGCAGGTCTTCCGGTCTTGGCTGGGGTTCACTGACACACAAGCAGCTGACAGTTGGCTGATCTAGGATGGCCTCAGCTGGGATGACAGGCTGTTTCCTCACCTTCCAGCAGGCAAGCCAGTCCCAAGAAAGAGAAGGGTGAAACATGGAGGCCATTAATTGAGCCCATCGCATGAAACGCATCTGTGACACCATCACCGTCTGATATCAACTCTCACCTGGATGTTTGCAATCGCCTAACTTTTCTCCTTTCATTCACTATGCTGCCTTACAAACCTATTCTCCACAAATCAGCTAGAGCAAACCTTTTAAATCCTAAGTAGAATGCTACCATTCCTCTGCTCAAACTACTGGAGAGGAGATGCCACAGTCTTTACTATGGTCTTCAAGACCCTATGGGAGGTAGCCCTGTCTTACAACCATAGCCTCCTACCACTGCCCCAACATGCACACTGAGTTCCGGCCACAGCATCTGCTTCCTCTTTATTGATCTGCCAAGGACATGAATGACTCAGAATCTCAAACTTATTCTTCCCTCAGAATCCACTGAGCCTACTCCCTCTTTTTCTCAAATGGCAACTTCTCAGAGATGCCTTCTCTGGCTAACGTATATGTACTAAAACCTCCATCCAGCACTCTATGTCATCCTTACTATGGTTTATTTTTCTTCATAGCACCTATCAATTGGTGAAGTATTAAATATGCATTTTTGTTTGTATGCATCTCTCTCCCCGCACCAGTATGTGAACTCCACCAGACTGGAGAGCGTGTTTATTTTGTTCACTGCTGTAACTCCAGTGTCTAGAACAGTGCCTGGCACACAGTAGGTGTTTAATAATGATTTGTTAAGCTAAGCCAATGAATAAATATTCTTTTGCCCATGAGATGATGTTAAAAATTTTTCAATTATTCATAACTGCCTGTAAGGAATGAATGTTAGTGAATTACTGTGATACCAATGAAAGTTAAATGATGCAATGAAGATTGGGTGGATCACAAGGTCAGGAGTTTGAGACCATCCTGGCCAATATGGTGAAACCCCGTCTCTACTAAAAATACCAAAATTAGCTGGGCATCGTGGCAGGACCCTGTAGTCCCAGCTACTCAGGAGGCTGAGGCAGGAGAATCGCTTGAACCCAGGAGGCGGAGGTTGCAGTGAGCCGAGATCACGCCACTGCACTCCAGCCTGGCCGACAGAGTGAGATTCTGTCTCCAAAAAAAAAAAAAAAAAAGATGTAAATATTATTATTGTTTGCCATCACCCTTATGTGCTGTCTTGGCTTTATGTCGTGCTTAGATCTTTTCCAGGTGCAATTTGAATTGATGCAACTAATGGAAACTACAACAGAAGTTCATATTGCCCTATTGTATTACACTATTTGACTCATCTTTCAGTATCACCAGGTGCATAAGGAAAATTTCAAAAGTAAATCAAGAGAAAGAAATATGATCGCAGCTTAACACAATGTAAATTTATTATTTGTACTTTTTGTCTAAATGGTTTGCCTAAAAGACTGAAAGACATTTTATATTAGTTAGAATACTTGAGGATAATAACATAAAAACTTTCCTTTCCAACTTGTTTATAAAAGGAAATCTTCACTGTTTTGAACATCAGTTATTTTAAACTTTTAAGTTGTTAGCACAGCAAAAGCAACAAAATTCTAAGTGCAGTAATCACTTTACTGCGTGGTCATATGAAATCAAGGCAATGTTATGAGTATTACTGGAAAGCTGGACAGAGTAACGGGAAAAGTGACTAAAACTATGCAAAACTATGCAAAACTAAGCAGATTGTGTCTCTAGAGTATTTCCCATCTCAAGTTTAGTTATTTACTAATTTGGCAACATCTGACCTATCTTTAATTGTGAGAAAATAAACAAACACATAAGCCAACTCTCAGAATATGGTTATACATAGGTGTAGCCTATGACTTTGAATGTATTTGTTTGAATAGCGTAAAACAAAATAAAAATAAAATCTTGTTACAGTGCAAGAAACGGCAGTCATCAAACTAAGATGAGGCAAGTGTCATGAAGTATGAAAATATGGTACCTGAATTCTATTTATTAGAAAGTCTTCACTGAGCTGAGCATGTTTTTTTTAACAAATTCAATTACTGATTTGAATATTTATTATACTTAATTATTGCAGCCATGAAAAGAGGTGCTGGCTGAGGCTGCATTTAATAAAAACATTTAATCAGCTTGAGGTTAGTAAACCATTTAATTTGTTTTTTCATGAAGATTTAACTTCTAGAATAATTTCATTTATGTATTTTTAGGTATAGCCCTAGATTCTGGTCTACATAGTATACAAATCATTTTAGAATGACACTAGGTTATTTCAACTGCTTTTCTACAGAAGTGTTAAATAAGGGAGTAAAGTGTTGGCTTTTTCCATAATTGAAATAAATGCACAATGAGCAGTAACATCCTGATTTCACTGCTATTTTGTTTAATCAACATAATGATGTAGATTTACTCTGTATATATATGGAAGAGTGAAAGAAGGTTGGGAAGGAATAACTATCAATTAATATAGGTGATATAGTAGTTATTTTTGCAAATCAACTATAATTTCTGAATGGATATTCAGACCATATTTACATTACATAGAAGAGGCACACACCAAAAGATTTAACAAATGTGCCAAATATTGGTGAATATTTAGTTAGGTACCAAAAGGATGTTGTATAAATTAGGATGCTTTCAACCATAAGAGACTCATCTCAAAAATGGCTTGAAAATGTGGGGAATTTTTATCTCAGTGTGAAGTTAAAGGTAGGGCAAGTCCAAATCAATTCAAGTTAATTAAAGCCCCAAGTTCTTGGAATTTGCTCTGCTAGTCTTAGCTGGTTAGCCTTTGTCCTGAAGTTTGTAACTTCATGACCAGAAGATGATCGCAATATTTTCTAAGTATAAAGCCTGAAGGTGTAAACCAGGTAGTCTCAGCAAAACCAATGATGCATGGTCACCTTTCCCTTAGTTGACAAATACTTGCCTTCCAGATACTTTGAATCAGAATGGGCATTTTAACTAAGATCCAGTGCAACTAAAGGAATAATCAAACAAATGATAAAATAATTATTCTGAGCTGAAAACACAAGTCTGAATATTGGAAGAGGTTCCTGATTTCCAGGCAGAATAGATAAGCAAAGATATCAACCTAAACACATCCTGGTTATAGTCTAAAATTTAGAGAATAAATGGGAAAAGATTATGAACTTTAAGGAAGAAATAACAACTTACACATAAAACAAAAAGGAAAAACTATCTGTTGACAGATTTATCACCTGCTAGATAAGAGCAGAATAACCATTCACTAGGAGAAAATGGGAGAAGCTAGAAGATACTGGAGTAATATTTATAGAGTACTGAAGAAAAAACAAAAAACAGAAATTCAATACACAGCTAAGATATCATTTACCTGTAAATGATACATGGTAAAATAAAGGGTAAAATAAGGATATTTGCAGATTCACAAGGAGAAGTTAGCCTTCACATACTCAGCTGAGGAAAATCCTAGAGACAAAACTCTAACAAAAACAAACTAGCCGGGTGCAGTGGTGCAGGCCTGTAGTTCCAGCTACTCAAGAGGCTGAAGTAAGAGGATCACTGGAGCCCAGGGGTTCTGGGCTGTACTGTGCTATGCTGATCAGGTGTCCACACTTAGCTCGCCATCAATATGATGACCTCCCAGGTGGGAAATGGAGCAGGTGAAAACTCCCATGCTGATCAGTAGTGGGATCATGTCTGTGAATAATCACTGCACTCCAACTGGGAAACATAGCAAGACCCCATCTCTAAAAAACAAACAAACAAACAAACAAACAAACAAAAATGTTTCAGACAAATGTCAAGATAGAGTAAAAGAAGAAAGTACTGAAGGCCCTTCAACATAAATTGGATCAGATAATAAAAATAATAGCAAAGTTCTTTTCATGCTGTATCCTTAATTCTTCACCATAATCTTAGGAAGTGAATGTATTAATTATCTTTTGCTATATAACAAATTACTCCCAAAACTTGGCGGCTTAAAACAACAAATATTATTTCACAATTTCTGTGGGTCAAGAATTTGGAAGTAGTGACTCTGGCTCAGGGTCTCATTTAAGGTGGTAGTTCAGGATGCCAGTCAGGGCTGCAGGCACTGAGGCTGCTTCCTCAATGGCCCACTCACATGGCTGTTGGCTGGAGGCCTCTCTTTCTCACCACACGGGCCTCTTCATAGGACTGCCCGAGTGTCCTTACAGCGTGGCAGCTGGCTTCCCCCAGAGTGAACATTCTGAGAGAGAGAGAAAGAGAGAGTTAGAAGGCATGCTGTCACTTCCACTGTATCCCATTCACCAGAAGTGAGAGACTAAATTCACCAAACAGAAAAGTGAAGGAGAATGAGGCTCCAGTTTTTTGGGTGAGAGTTGAAGAATGTATGGATATTTTGAACAACCACAATATAATTCTTCTTTTCACAGAAGCACAAAAAAATTTATTTAACTTGTCCAAGTTTACACAGTTAGCAAGCAACACCTTTGAGAAAAAAATCCATGTAGTCTGATACAAGCACCCAAACTCATAACCACAATGTGAATCTAACTGCTTTTCAATTAAAAAAGAAAGAAAGATTCCCTTCAAATCTGGCATATGCATTCACATGGAGCATTCATACTGCCAGTGACAGTACCATAGTTATATGGAATTAGAAGTTCTAACTTATCTTGGCCAAACTAAAGACTTAGGGCTGGGTAGAAGGTTGGAGGGATGTAAGGTCATTCTCAAGATCTCATCTAGGAGAAGAAAACAAAATGGGGAAGTAGAAGACAAAATGCTTTTTTAGGTTGGGAAAGGACTGGGAGAATCAAGCATCTAGAAATGGGCACAAAGAGTTACCTTATTTTATTTAAAAGAAAATAAATGTTTGACTATTAATGCCTGAGAACGGAAGGTGATTATTAATGAGATGAAAAAGTTAATCAGATTCTCCAAGTTAGGAGGGACTTGAAGACCAAATTGATAAAAATAAAAAAAAAGATGTCATAGTAGAATAATCTAGATAATAAGCAATCAATGAGACTGAAAAAATAAAATCAAGTATATCATTTGTTACACTAAATATTAATATACCAGATTCTCTCATTAAAAAAACAGAGAAAGTCAAATTGGATTAAATAAGAACAAAAAGTTAGCTATATAGTATTTATCAGAAACATTCTTATAAACAAATTGATAATGAAAGATTAAAAATAAGAGATTTGAGGCAAGGCAAGCAAAAAGAAATAAATGTTAAACAAGGAGAAATTAAAGGCTACGGACATTACCTAAGGAAAAGGATGACATAGAGTTACAGTGGCAAAAGTTAGGAAGCAGATGACATAAATCTATATGCACAAACAGTATGGCCACAAAATACATTAATTAAAAATTACTAGAAATATAAGATGACTTTGATTAAAATACACTGATTACAAGGGATTTAACATATAAAAATTAGGCTGATGTGGTAAATTTAAATATAATCAAATATTTAGGAAAATAGAACAACACAACAAAGTTGATTACATATATTCATTTTCCAGATAGTATACTTTATGCCTATGAAATAGTTCTTAAAATCAATTATATATGGCCGGGTGCAGTGGCCCACGCCTGTAATCCCAGCACTTTGGGAGGCCAAGGCAGGTGGATCACGAGGTCAGGAGATCGAGACCATCCTGGCTAACACAGTGAAACCCCGTCTCTACTAAAAATACAAAAAAAAAAAAAATTAGCTGGGCGTGGTGGCTGGAACCTGTAGTCCCAGCTACTCGGGAGGCTGAGGCAGGAGAATGGCGTGAACCCAGGAGGCGGAGCTTGCAGTGAGCAGAGATTGCACCACTGTACTCCAGCCTGGGCGACAGAGTGAGACACCGTCTCAAAAAAAAAAAAATCAATTATATATTTAAACACACACACACACACACACACACACACACACACACACACACACACCTTTTCTAAAAAATCGGGATTTAATAGACATATTATCTGATCATAGGCTGTTGAAGATAAATGATTTAAAGGTGGCCTAAAGTTTAAGTACTTGCAAATTAAGAAACATCCTCTCCACATCAAAGAGAAAATCACAACTAATGTTACTAATTTTCTAGGAAGCAATTTAAAGAACACTAAATCCAAAACCTATGAGACACAGATGAAACTGTGTTCAGGGGAGAATGTATAGCCTTAAATGCTTACATTAATAAAGTAAATGAAAGAAAAAAATAGTTTTTATCCTAGGAAATTAGGAAAAAAGCAAATGAAGTGAAATATACTACTAAGAAATAAAGGCAAAATTACTGAATTTCATGAAATAGAAAACAATAAAATATATTAGAAAGGATAAAAAGGATTTTAAAAATCTGCTCTTTTAAAGAATCTGTAAAACAGAAAGCCTTATGGTTCAGATTAAAGAAAAAAAGTTTGTGTACGTGTGTGTGTATGTATTAAGAAAGGAGATATAACTTCACAATCAAAGAAGTTTCAAAGAATTGCAGTTACATGGCAATAAATTTGAAAACTGAGAGGACACAGAAGATTGTGTAACAAATTACAAATAATGAAAATTGACCTTATTCTGAAGTAGAAAACAGGAATAGATCAAGTTTCATGCAAGAGTTTGGAAAGATGATTAAAAATGTACCCTCTAAAGAGCAAGCTGGGCATGGTGGCTCATGCCTGTAGCCCTAGCTACATGGGTGGCTGAGGCAGAAAGATCACTTGAGCCCAGAAGTCCAGAAGTTCAAGGCTACAGTGAGCTATGATTGTGCCAGTGCCCTCCAGAAGAGAGAAAGAAAGAGAGAGAGAGAGAGAGAGAGAGAGAGAGAGAGAGAGAGAGAGAAGAAGGAAGGAAGGAAGGAAGGGCAGAAAGCAGACCAGACCAGATTTCATAGCTGTATTCTGTCTATCCTTAAAGAATAAATAGTTCCACTTATATTTTAAATATTCTAGACGACAGAAGAAGGAGGAAAGTTCTTAGGAACCGATAAGAGAATTCAGAAGAACCAAGATTCAGTAGCCTACAAAGAATGAAAATATGCTCATAGCAAGACAGCTTTTGAGATATTTATTTCAAATTCACAAAAACTCCCCCATGCAATCTTAAAGAGGCTTTACTTTATTTAAGCCAAAGAAAAGTGCAGATCCTGATATGAATATATTTATCTACAAAAGGCTCATATTCTGAAGTAATACTATTCAACTCTCATTCATTCAAGAGCTGTTCTGTAATTGTTCCAATATAAAGGAGTCAAAACAATTTCTTAATGGAAGTATTAAGTAGTGCTCTATGTTGTCAACTAATTTATTTCCCATTTCAAACATTAGTTGACATGTTTTCATTTCTCTTTTGGAAGGAAACAACTAAATATGTTATCAATCCATCATTTACTTGTACAATAAATAAAGTTCTAAATCACTGCACAGTGTAAAATGGCAAATAGACTTCCCCATAACACAAAGCCATCCTGAAAAGTTTTGTTCATTTTAGAAGAAAAAATTTTAAAACCTGAGCACCATAGGATATGAATTTTGTAAATAATTATGAAAAGAAAACAACAATAATAAAACTCTACTAATCTTAGCTCGATCTTATAAAAAGTTCCATAATGAGTAATCAAATTTTATTTCCAATTAAATATGTTATCACCCAGTAGTATGCCATACCAGTTTCTAATTCATACTTCAATTATCTTCTAATTTAAATTAATGACTATAATTGCTGTTATAAAACAACAGCTCTATAGCCTGCTATTCAGACCAGTAAATAAGAGTTTAAGGGCTTGTGATAGCAAATGAAGTTTCTTATTGGATTTTAAGAAAAATTTTTATAAAAATATGTGAGGTTATTCAATAGAATCACATTTAATTTGCCAAGCATTTTGCAGAATGCCTAGGACTATGTAAGAAGTATTAAATTTGCAAGCCCTTTGAATAGTTGTAATTTAAAGATAAAAATTGGTTTAATACCAGACAAAGATAGAAGCACAAGTTAGGTTATTAGAGAATTTAGCCAGTGTATCAGTTTGTATCGTAAGTCATTGGCAAGAACAACGTGTACTTTTCTGTCACCTCCCAACTAGCTATGTTTTGAGCAGTAGGAATATTTAATACCCCTTCCTCCCATTTTTCCTTTGTGTTGTCCAAATTCTGACAACTCTACTGCCAGATAGCTCAGGGCAAAAATGATAAAGTTCAAGTTAAGAAGGCTCTGCAGTGTTCTCAGTTCTCCTCTGGTGAAAGAGGAGAAAGGTTGTGTTTAATTATGAATCTGGGATTTCCAAAACTTTACCCATGCCCTGCCTGTCCCCTCATTAGCATGAAGCTGTTATTTAAATAGTTCAGCAATAACGACTTTAGTAGCCTCCCTAGGTTAAAAAGATTGAAATTAAATGTGTTTATCTATTGTTCTACTATTCAGTTACCTGATTATAAAATCAAAGATTATTTCATGAAACTCAGTACCCCTTCAGGGAAAAAAAAAAAAAATTCCCTAAAACAAAGTTAGGAGAGTGAATCGGACCACATGCTTATCTCCAAGGTCTCAATCAAACAGCAAATGCTTACCCAACTTCTATTCAAAATATTTGCGCCAGTAGTTCTGATATGACCCAAGCAGAGTTCACACATTATTAATCTACTCCTTTCAGTCTTCTAGATGTGTTTCCTCCAAAATCTACCAGATTCTCAAATAATTTCAGGAACTTTCTCCAGAACAGAAACAAGGTTGTTACTGATACCAACTTTGTCTCCAAACATGGGGAAGATTATCATTGGAAAGATCTATTGATGACCTATAATACATAGTTGGAACTGTTTATCCACAGAAGTATTCCCCAAGAATCAACCACAGAGCCAAGATGGAGCTTATGTCATTGTTATGCATACTTCTTTTACGGCTTGTGAGGGCAGTTCATACTATTCTGATTTTACAACTGAGACCCAAGGAACCTGAGTGACTTCTAGGCTCCATTATGTCAAAAAAAACTCAAATGTGAGGCTTTGCCTACACTGAGAAACAGTAGTTCAAGAAACGGTGCCCTGGTTCTGTTAAAATAATCTGAGAGTTATGTGGTAAGTAGTTGAGAGTGAATAGGGTAGCTTTGAGAGGTGACAGCGTGCTGGCAGTCCTCACAGCCCTCGCTGGCTCCAGGCGCCTCCTCTGCCTGGGCTCCCACTTTGGCGGCACTTGAGGAGCCCTTCAGCCCACCACTGCACTGTGGGAGCCCCTTTCTGGGCTGGCCAAGGCCGGAGCCGGCTCCCTCAGCTTGCAGGGAGGTGTGGAGGGAGAGGCGCGAGCGGCAACCGGGGCTGCGCACGGCGTTTGCGGGCCAGCTGGAGTTCTGGGTGGGCGTGGGCTTGGCGGGCCCCGCACTCGGAGCAGCCGGCCAGCCCTTCCAGCCCCAGGCAATGAGAGGCTTAGCACCCGGGCCAGCAGCTGCGGAGGGTGTACTCCGTCCCCCAGCAGTGCCAGCTCACAGGCGCTGCGCTCAATTTCTCACCGGGCCTTAGCTGCCTTCGCGCGGGGGGTGCTCGGGACCTGCAGCCCGCCATGCCTGAGCTCCCACCCCCTCCATGGGCTCCCGTGCGCCCGAGCCTCCCCGATGAGCACCACCCCCTGCTCCACGGCGCCCAGTCCCATCGACCACCCAAGAGCTGAGGAGTGCGGGCGCACGGCGCGGGACTGGCAGGCAGCTCCACCTGCAGCTCTCGTGCGGGATTCACTGGGGGAAGCCAGCTGGGCTCCTGAGTCTGGTGGGGACGTGGAGAACCTTTATGTCTAGCTCAGGGATTGTAAATACACCAATCGGCACTCCGTATCTAGCTCAAGGTTTGTAAACACACCAATCAGCACCCTGTGTCTAGCTTAGTGTTTGTGAACGCACCAAGCCACACTCTGTATCTAGCTACTCTGGTGGGGCTTTGGAGAACCTTTGTGTCCACACTCTGTAGCCAGCTAATCTGGTGGGGACATGGAGAACCTTTGGGTGTAGCTCAGGGATTGTAAACGCACCAATCAGCGCCCTGTCAAAACAGAGGACTCGGCTCTACCAATCAGCAGGATGTGGGTGGGGCCAGATAAGAGCATAAAAGCAGGCTGCCTGAGCCAGCAGTGGCAACCCGCTTGGGTTCCCTTCCACACTGTGGAAGGTTTGTTCTTTCACTGTTTGCAATAAATCTTGCTGCTGCTCACTCTTGGGGTCCACACTGCTTTTATGAGCTGTAACACTCACTGCGAAGGTCTGCAGCTTCACTCCTGAAGCCAGCGAGACCACGAGCCCACCAGGAGGAACCAACAACTCCAGAAGCGCCGCCTTAAGAGCTGTAACACTCACCGTGAAGGTCTGCAGCTTCACTCCTGAGCCAGCGAGACCACGAACCCACCAGAAGGAAGAAACTCCGAACACATCCGAACATCAGAAGGAACAAACTCCAGATGCGCCACATTAAGAGCTGTAACACTCACCGCGAGGGTCCCTGGCTTCATTCTTGAAGTCAGTGAGACCAAGAACCCACCAATTTTGGACACAGTTTGACAATAAATTTACACTCAAATATCTCTAAGGAATCAAACTTACAGATTAATAATTAGTAATCAGGTCACGTAAAGTAAATTATAAAAGAGCATTGATACCAAGATTGGCAGAAAGTTTTTTGTGTGACAAAACCAAGTTTTGGCTAAGATACACACTGCTGATGGGAGTCTAAATTGCTGTATATGTCGGGAAAACAAGTTGTCTTTATCTTGATGTTATAAATAACCTATGACCCAGAAATTTAACTCCTAGACATATACTCTAGTGAAACTCTTGAACGTGTGCGTCCAAAGACATTTATAAACATGATCTTAGTAGTATTGCTTTTAGTAGCAAATTCTGGAAACATCCCAAATGTCTATCAATAGTGGAATTGATTTGAAAGGGGTGTGGAATGGTAATATAATGGAATAGCCTACAGCTGTTTAGATAAAGGAACTCCAATTAAACATACCAACAAAGATACATTTCAAAAACAAGACGTTGAAAGGAAAAAAGTCATCAAAACAATACACAACATTCTACCACATTTTTATAAATTCTCAAAATATGCAATATTAAACATGCATTATTTAGGGAGGCATTCAATGTAGCAATGCATTTTTAAGAGGCTGGGATGATAAATGTAAAATTCAGAACAGGTATTATCTCTGGGAACAGGAAGAGGAGGATGCAGTGTTGGGAAGAAATACATATAAGTACAGCAGTAGAGGCAGACTTTTTTTTCCTTTTCCTTTTTCCTTTATTTTTCCTAGCTTTCTTTTTCTTTAGCTATGGTATTTCTTTAGCTATGGTATGGTATGGTATGTACTTTCCATATATCATACAGTATATTTTGGTGTGCATGAAATAGTCCTTAATAACATTTTTATTATTTTTTATTTGACGTTTAAGTTCAGGGGTACATGTGCAGATTTGTTATATAGGTAAACTTGTGTCATGTGGTTTTGTTGCACAAATTATTTTCTCACCCAGGTATTAAGATTAGTACCCATTAGTTATTTCTCTTGATCCTCTCCCTCCTCCCACTCTCCACCTTCTACCCTCCAATAGGCCCCAGTGTGTGCTGTTCCCCTCTATGTGTCCATGTGTTCTCATCACTTAGCTCTCACTCATAAGTGAGAACATGCAGTATTGGGTTTTCTGTTTCTGCGTTAGCTTGCCAAGGATAATTGCCTCCAGCTCCATATTCCTGCAAAAGACATAATTTTGTTCCTTTATATGGTTGCATAGTATTCCATGGTGTATATGTACCGCATTATCTTTAGCCAGTCTATCATTGATGAGCACTTAGGTTGATTCCATGTCTTCGCTCTTAACATTTTTAAACAGTCTCTGAGTAGAATAGGGTAGGCTGGTGTAAGGAATTACTGTTTTTAATTGGAAGCAATTACATACTGCATTAAAAAGCATATATATATAGACACACATATATATGTTTTACATTCACATAATCAAACCAAAGCTTTCAGAATTTTCCGCCAAAAAGCATGTGTGGAGGGAGAGAGAGGGGTGTTATGGTGCATTTGTAGGCCCTGAAATAAAGTGATCTCCATATTTGCTTCCATTTGTGTATAAATATTTTTTAAGCATATATGCATCCTAGAGTATGGAAAGAAAATTTCTGGGAAGATTTGCAAGAATCTGTGGCAGTTGAGAGTAGGTTCACTTTCGCTTTATTGTGTAATTTATTGTATTTTTCATTTAATTGTACTTTGTAAACTAAATATTTATTGTATATTTTACTTCATTTTTTAATTGCCATATGCAGCTTTAATTTTATAACTAAATTACGTTCTGACCCAGGGCAGGAGGTGGGAGAAGAGAATGAGAGAAGGGCGGAATCCTCAAGACAGCAGCATTCTGCGCTCCGCCCTGGAACACCCAGCGCAGCTACCCCATCCCGCCCAGGCCGGCCACCTGGCGTCGAAGCCAGGCGCGAGGGGCGGAGGCGGAGGCGGGGGCGGGGGCGGAGGCGGAGGCGGAGGCGGAGGCGGAGGCGGAGGCGGAGGCGGAGGCGGAGGCGAGCACCGCCCCACCGCGCACGCTGCGGTTGCCCCGGCAGCCGCGCCCTGCGTGGCGGAAGCTCACAATCAGCCCGGTCCCTCCGGCTTCCACCCCGCCCCCTGCGCTCACCTGCCCGCGCGCTCGCCTTCCGGGGACCCGGGGCCCATGGACACATACACCCAGCCCTGCTGTCCCGCGCGCCAGCTCACCAGCCCTACCCAAGGGACATCATTCACGCCTGGGCGCCTCCGCCGGGCTCCGGGAGCCCAAGGTCGCGGCTGGGCCAGCGCTGAGCGTCAGAGGACGAGAGCAGGGGCCTCCCCGGTCGCCCCAGCAGGCCCAGGCACATAGGTGCCCAGAGATCCCTGGCTTCTGATCGCCCGGAAGACTAAGAGGTGAGCATGACACATGGCTTTTCCTTTGACGTTACATCTCTACCCCCTCCACTCCTCTCTTCTCCAGATTTTTCTGGAGACTAAAAAGTGGAAAGCACAGTAGAGAACCCCCAACATGTAAACTATCGCTTACACTTGTGGGTGAGCTGAAACCCGCAAAAGTTTGGTGTATTCATAAGGAGCCTATATTGAAGGACTTTGCTAAATGTTTTACAAGGATCATATCTCATTTCCTTTTCACACAGTCCCATGAAGTGGGCACCATTGCTATTGCCAGTTCACAGATGCAGAAACTGAGGTAAAAACTAGGTAGGTAGCATATCCATATTTATATCCAACTAGTTTGTGTAAATAATGATACAGGGAAGGGAGGATCACAACGGATTTCCCCACCTCAAACCCTACATTCCACTGTACCAAGCTTGTCTTCCTCCATTCCTCTTTCTAATGATCCTTCCTTGTCGCACAGCCCCCCTTTGAGAGTTAAATGACCTGAACACACACAGATTCCCACAGATTTTCATGTAATTTCCGAGTATTCAGACCCCGAACATGGACCTCAAGTCAAGACATTCTGCTCTATTCCACTACCTTGGTAGATGGTTAGATGTGACTAAGGTGGCCCAGGGTCATGCTGGGGAAAAGTACAGGTGTGCTTGTATGTGGAGGATCCTATATGCTGCTCAATTTACAAGGAACCCAGGACCCAAGGGCTACACTTGTGTGATTTCCTGCAGTGGGGTGAGCTCTTGGTCAGTCTTAGCAGTTGATTGTGAAGGACACTATACAGGGTGCTGCCCTCTCCCCAGCACTTCAGGGCTTTAGCTGGGAGGGAGGCAGTCCACAGGAAACCGACCCATGGACCTACTGAATTCATCACTGTAGCTGCTAATTAATTCTCCGTTAGAGATGGGTGCTAACAGAGGCAACATTGAAGTCCCTGATTGGGAAATCCTTATTTTCACAAATCAAGTGGCATTGATTCAGTCTAATCATTACCTATGTAGGAGCATCTTGCCCTATTCCATAGATGACACATATACATATGCAGTATGATGACACCGCACCTAATCGGAATATGGCCGATAATAATAAAACAAGCCATAAATAGCAGCTAAGGTGAGTGTCACCAAGCCGTGCAGCAAAGTCCAAGTGGATGACTCTGAGGCAGCCTCAGTTGGTTCCCTAGTCCACCGCATGTTATAAACAGATTAAAAGGCAAAGGAGGCCTGGCCCGGTGGCTCACGCCTGTAGTCCCAACACTTTGGGAGGCTGAGGCGGGTGGATCACCTGAGGTCAAGAGTTCAAGATCAGCCTGGCCAACATGGTGAAACCCTGTCTTTACTAAAAATACAAAAATTAGCCAGGTGTGGTGGTGGGCACCTGTAATCCCAGCTACTCGGGAGGCTGAGGCAGGAGAATCGCTTGAACCCAGGAGGTGGAGGTTGCAGTGAGCCGAGATTGTGCCACTACACTCCAGCCTGGGTGACAGAGTGAGAGTTGGGCTGAGGGTCGAGGGTCATGGGATAGGGCGAGACACCAGGGGAGTGTGTGAGGACAGAAAAGAGTCTTGAGGACCTAGCCCTGGGCACCCAACATAGGCTTCTTGAAATGGGGAGTCAGCAAAGGAGCCTGAGCAGGAGGGGGCATTGGTGTTGGATGGAAGCAGGCGATGGAGATGTTGTGGTGCCTAGAGAGACACATTTAAAGGAGAGAGAGCTCACTGCCGTAGAGAATGTAGGTGAGGGAGCAGGCTTGCGATGGAGAAAAATGGTGCATAGTTTCAACTTTTGTAGTAAGATGGAATCTTTTCATTGCAAATGTTGGAAACTTAGCTAACTAGCTTATACCAAAATAAGGTGACGGGGGAGAAGATGTATTTACCCACAAAGTGGTAGATGGCTTCTGGCACCATGGAATCCATGTTGCAACTAATGCCATCAATCTCAGTCTCTCTCCATCCTCCAAGCATGGACTCTCTCTGTGGCACCCAAGAGAGCTACCTGCGCCCCAGCCCCACACCATACTGCTTAACAACTTCAGCAGAATAGTCTTCCCTCATAGTTCTGGATGATGGGCTGCTGATTGGTTGATGTCTTTTATGCACATATGCTTGAGCTTCAGTGTACCTGGAAAGGGATGGTTCCCTCAAATGGGCCAAGCCTAGGCCACAGACGCTTTCCTCTGGCAGGGGACAGAAGGGACAGCCCCATCCAAACGACCCGGATAGGATTCCCTATGTGATAATGGAGTTCTTTTCTCATAAGAAATGAAGAAACAACTGGTCATACCTAGCATGGCCTGCTACTCAATCCAAAAGATTTTCCGTACAAGGAGGTAAAATTACATACTAGAATGCCCATCACAATTTAACAGGGAGATTGTTTATGAAGATTTGCAGTTTCCTTGCAGCCATTTAACTACATCTTTTCCACTTAAGATGACATAGGAATCACTCATCACATCTCTGATATGTTACAGAGCCCAGTAGATTTGTTTATAATGAACACCTCAAAATTATATGTTTTTATAACACCTTAAAACTATTAAAACCTGCATGATCTCTCTATTTTGCTGGTGTGAAACCATGTAGATAGATGGTGGGAACTCAAACCCTTACCATGGCAATTTAGTTAACCTCAGCTTCTTCATGGTAAAATGGTAAAGTGTGATGAGGAGGGAAGGTTAAATGGATAATAAGAAAACCACCTGGCAAACTATTTTTAATTATGATGGAAGATTTGTTTGAACTGTTTTAACTTTATGCCCACTCAATATTTTTGATATTTATGTATAAATCCTACTTTCTGAACATTTCTTAAAAAACAATCTCTGTTCTTAAGGAAGTTCCAAAATATTGTTATTTAATCAAAATGAAGATGATAAAATTAACTTTGAGTTATTTTTCTTTTTTGTTGCTTCAGCTTTAGTTTTGGTCCAGAAAGCATTTTCAAGGAGCTGGTCAAGCATGGCTTTAGCAGATAAGAGACTTGAGAACTTACAGATCTACAAAGTTCTTCAATGTGTGCGGAACAAAGACAAGAAGCAGATAGAGAAGCTGACCAAGCTTGGATACCCTGAACTAATCAATTATACAGAACCCATTAATGGACTTAGTGCTTTGCACTTAGCCTCAGTTTCCAATGATATTGATATGGTCAGCTTTCTCCTTGACCTTGGTGCTCACCCTGATGTGCAAGACCGAATGGGCTGTACTCCCACAATGAGGGCTGCAGAACTGGGCCATGAATTGTCAATGGAAATATTAGCAAAGGCAAAGGCTGATATGACTATAGTTGATAATGAAGGAAAAGGTAAAAATCCCGACATCCTCTCCAGCAGATTGCAATTCATTTTGTAGCCAGAAAGCAATAACATGGACTCTTTTTGTTTTCCAACTTTAGAAGTGAATTACTTATGGTTTTAAGGGAAAGGCTAAATTCTCACTCCTATACCTAAACCTACTGTCTCCTCATACTTTGAAAATGAGATAGCTATATCTTAGGGAAATCATTTATGAGAGCTTGCTCATATACTTAGATTAATTTGTGTTTGGTGGTTTCTTTTAAATGAGGAGAATTTTGAACATTATACACACTGATTATTCATTATAAATTATAAACTCTTCTTTAAAACAAAGATGAAGTAGAGCATTTCTTATTCTTTTTTACATTTTAGAATTTCAGGCAGTACTACACCTAGGACTCCAAAAGGATTTTGACCCCCTCAATAGCAGTCTGATGTAGGAAGGACTTGCACTTGGAAACTTGAAAGGACTAAAGTCAATTCTGGCATAAACTCCAACTTTCTAGGATCATTTAAAAATGTATTTGGAAATACAACTTCAAACTTTAGACATGACCTTTCAACAATGATTCAGATCAAACAACTGCACTTCCACACCGTTAATCCCATCATCTCAAGACCATGGTCTGAGGACTTCTTGCCCAAATAACTTAAGGTTCAGGCAAGAATTGACACAGCCTCATAAAAATAACTGAGATAATTACCAATAAGCTTAATGTAAACTGATAGGTTTGAGCAGTTGTCCTGAGTTTCTGCAGATACAAGGCCATTAACATCAGCTCTGCAATCGAGAAATGAATCTCATTTGATAATGTGAATATTTACTGACAAGAGCAAAATCTACTTTTCTAACTCTCTCCAGACTTGGTGTTTGATATGATTACTTGCTTAGAACAAAAGAGGACAAAGAAAAGGGATAATTACATATTTAATTGTACCACGTAAGAAAATAAACTTCAGATGCATTCAGGGGCCAGATGTACTTTGAAATGCTAAATCCTGAAAAAACGGTATCCTCTCAAAGCTCTATAGTATACCATTTCCCAAAGTGTGTTCCATGGACCACTGAATTGCCAGGATGTTGAGAAGTACTACAGGCAAAATTGGTTCCACGGTCGCATTCATTAGAGACACATTTTAGGCATTTATCTTTCACATTGTTGGCTCAAAAATGGTGACATTTTCCATATTTATTTGACCACAAAATAATTTTTTTTAATGACATCTTATATGCCTGGAGTTTTGTGGACTAACCTTTGGGAAACACTATAATAGAGAAACGTTTAACTTACTGAGTTTGAAACAGATACAAATCACAAAGAAAAAAGAAATTCTATAGTGTAACAATGTAAAAGTGTAAATTTTTTTTAAAAAATCAAGGTAAAATTGGAAACAAGGTCAAGTAAATACTTGCAGCAAATGCAACAGGCATATGGCTAAAGGAAACAAATCTCATGGGCAGAACTGAAACTATAAAAGGAAACAAATGTAAAATCTTGTTTCACACATAAGCTTGTTAGGATGGCTGCCTGCAGCCCTCACTCTGCATAACCCAAGGTAGTGCCCATTGTACAGAGTACATTGTCTCTTCCCACATCAACAAGGCTCACTCAGCTTGCACATCCCTCAGTTTGGCTGCCAGTGGCCAAAGTGCTTTGCTTATTCCACAGTACCCTCTCTGTCATTGACATCCTATTTTCTGGTGACTCATGTTTGACTCACTGTACATCGTTCCTAAAGGATAAGCAAACATTTAAATGGCTAAGTGGGTCTTTAGGATGTGAGACATGCCCTAGGCCTAAGCGGCACTTTCTCTTGGAACAGTTTTACAGAATATGGAGAAGGTAAAGCTCTAAGCCAATACATTCTTTCTTGTATGTTGTCCTAGGGAATTAATTACAATGTGGAATCATTCTCCTTAAAAGTTAAGCTATAATAGTTCCTTATAGCACCCATTCCCATTCCATTGGTTTTTGCATTTACAGGCATGTGTACTCAGTCCTCAATGCCGTATGCCAGTTCTATGATAAGGTACAATATTTTTCAAACTGTTTTCCCTTCAATTTAGGAATGCTGATTCGTGTTCTTTGTGGCTTAAGGAGTCAGCCCAGATACACTTTAACTGTGTGTTGCACATGCCATCATTATGAAATATTCATTTCATAAGTGGCTCTGGGCCTTTTGTAATGAATTCAGCCTCCTCGGGTATTATGCTTAGGTTGTTTTGCTGTTGCTGTTGTTGTTTTGCTCTGTTCCTGCCTTCTATGTCTTGCTCTTTCTTTGACTTTCTCTTTTCAATAATAACCTTGACAATCTTTTCTTTTTTTTTTTAACTGTTCTGAGTAACCCTACTTTAGGTACATCAGTTTATATAAAATATATTTAGGTTTTGATTTTCATATACATTTTATTTTTTATTTTAATGGTGGAATTTATCCAATTTATAGTTATCTAGATTTCCCATAGGGTTGGTTTCAGAAACATCATTTATTTTATATTGTGAAGGCAAAATATATCTAATATATAAAATACATGTGAAAGTATTGTCATATATGGTCCATAGATTTGTTTTACTTTGCTGTATATGTGTGTTTTTCTTTATATGCTTGTAAGTGTATTTTCTAAAATTGATGGGCTTTTTAGTTATTTTAGTTTTTTTATTTTTTTTTAGTTATTTTAATGGTTAACTTGATACTTCATATGCCCTTAAACCTGTTTATTGAGTTAGCATCTTAAACAGTATTCATTGATTCTTTACTCTGTTTAGTAAGATTAGTACAATAGTATAAATTAGATAAGATTAGTACAATAACCCTTCCTCTTACCTCTGCTACTTCCCTTCTACCACTCAATTTTATACTCAATTATAATTACTTAGTTCTTTCAATGATTCCCTTTTAAATAATAAGTACCTTGTACTTTATTTCCTTACCTGCTTTACATAATATCTCAGTCTTAGCCCTAAAAGATGAGAAGATCAAATACTTATACTATTTCTCCTTCCTTCCCTCAAATTTTTGATAAATTATATTATTTTTACATTATTACAAATTGCAATATATTTTTCTCTATCTAAAATTGCTAAGGTGACTTAGCTTTGGTTCTGTGGCTAAAGAGATTCAGTATTTATGACTGTTCTTTTAGTCACATATTCTCTATTGATCTCTTGGAAAACTCACTTTTGCCATCAAGTAGTTTAAGTCACTTCTTTGGGCTTGTATCCCTGATTACTTATATCCTTAAGACTATACATGTCTGTTGTTTTTACATGAACAAAGTCTTGATTGGGTATAAAAGTTTCCTGTTTTTTTTCCCCAAGTTATAGTGTAGAGATCCTTTGATTATACTGTAGCATTGAATGTTGTTGTGATAAATTTTTGAGGGCAGCTGGACTTTTCCCCTTCATGGATTAGTTGAATTTTTGCCTGGATTCTTATGAGACACTTTCTTTGCCTAGCTTTACCTAGGCATGCCTTGTTGACTGTTCTTAATCAACTTTTCCTAAGACCCAACGTACCCTTTTAATCTTAAGATTCAGGTCTATCTTTGCACTTTCATTTTAGAACAAGTTATATTTAGTTTCTTTGCTATCATGGAAATGAATTAGCCAGTAATTTTCACTGGTATATCTTTTCTAGTATGTATCCTTTTTGCGTGGCTTTCAGTATCAGTTTCCTTTTTCCTTGCAGTATTTTTTTTTAATAGGTTGCATAGTGGTTTCTTTTTTGGTTATTCTTTGAATGGAGTCCCTTTTTTGGAATGAACTCGTTACAAAGTCAGTTTGGAGTCTGATTGTTATTTACCTAGGACTTTCTTAGTAACACTCTGCCCTGGGTTTATAACAGTAACCCTGATGTGTAGTATGCTTTTGACATGGATTATATTGAAGGCCTGTATGTTACAGGTCCTGGGTGTAGGGATTTAGCATGTTCCTTTCTCCAACGGAACAAAATGATTTGCTAAAATGGCAGAGGCACTTGCCATCTAATTAGCCACTTGGCATCTAATTCACCTCTTTACTGCTATACCGACAGCCTGCTTCTTACAAACATGGTCAGTCTACACATTTCATCACCCAGTACCATCTCTTTTGCCATTCTGCAGTTTTAGAGGGGACCGGGGGACTTACCAGTAGCCCTTTGGCACACATAGCTGTAGCCCTTCACATTCCAAGAAGGGACACTCAGGGTACGTATTGCAAGATGCCAAATACTCAGGGTCAACAGGGTTCACCTATCAGCGCTCCAATTCTTCCATAAGCCAGGTCCTATCATATGTGGTTGTGACTGTTTTCTAACGATGTCAGGAATTAAGATTTTTTGTTTTTTGTTTTCTGTCTTGGTGTTTTAGTTGGTTTCAGAGAGGAAACTGAGGCAGATATGCCTTTAACTAGCTAAATATGGATTTTTAATAATTTTACTTTCCTTCCTGTCAAATATGTATAGATGTTAAATACTCTCTGGGGATTTTATTTCTCTGCAGGTGTTTTGTTTTACTGCATTTTACCGACTAAGCGGCATTATCGCTGTGCTCTGATCGCCCTTGAACATGGTGCAGATGTCAACAATTCTACCTATGAAGGAAAGCCAATATTCCTTAGAGCTTGTGAAGATGCACATGATGTTAAAGATGTGTGCCTGACATTTTTGGAAAAAGGAGCCAATCCTAATGCAATCAACTCAGTATGGCTATTCTTGTGATTACAAATATTTCTTGTTTCAATTACAGCATAGTATAATCTTTTCATTTAAATATGATGACATTATCCTGTTAGCTGATAGACTGTTCATTTTGATTCAAAATGCTTGAAGATGGTATACGTTTATTATCTTCATATTGCTGTGATTCTACAGTCTGTTTCCTAATTATGTTTGGAAACTTGGTATTTATTATGCATAATGTCAAGGTACCATTATAGGAAATAGTAAAAAAAGGCATTGCTGATGCCTAATAGGATTTATCTTCTTAGAAAGAAAATATATAGTTCTGCTGTTTCTTTTCTTTTTCTTTTCCTTTTTTTTTTTTTTTTTTTTTTTGGAGACAGCGTCTCACTCTGTTGCCCAGGTTGGAGTGCAGTGGTCCAATCTTGGCTCACTGCAACCTCTGCCTCTCAGGTTCAAGCAATTCTCCTGCCTCAGCCTCCCGAGTAGCTGGGATTACAGGTGCATGCCACCATGCCCCGCTAATTATTTTTTGTATTTTTAGTAGAGACAGGGTTTTACCATGTTGGCCAGGCTGATTTCGAATTCTTGGCCTCAAGTGATCTGCCCACCTCTGCCTTCCAAAGCGCTGGGATTACAGGCATGCCCAGCCTAGTTCTGTTGTTATATCAATTTCGTTCACTCTCCTTATTTTGAGTTTTCTTGTAATTGCCCTTTCTTGACACTAAACATTGATTTTCTTCTCATTATAAAACACCTATGACCTAATTTTATATTAGGTGTTGATATTTTATCTCTCTTTCTCCCTTTTTATTCTGCTCTATTTGCAAGAAATACATTTTTTAGCATGATATTCTCACAGGGGCATGCAGTGTGACCTTGACTCTGATTTTAGAATTCTACGTTTTGGATACTGACCCATTGTACTTGCTTAATTTTTCCTCTTTGTTACATGAAGCTAAGAAAAATGTAGAGAACTAAACTTGTAAGTGTAAAGCTAAGGTCAAATGGATTCAGACTGTATTTGTACTGATTCTGCTACTTAATATGATGGGTATAAACAGCATCTCATATTGGACTATTTCATGTCCAGTCCACAGGCCGCACAGCTTTAATGGAAGCGTCAAGAGAAGGGGTAGTGGAAATAGTTCGAGGCATATTGGAAAGAGGAGGTGAAGTGAATGCATTTGACAACGACAGGCATCACGCTGCTCATTTTGCTGCTAAAGGAGGCTTTTTCGATGTAATAATCTATTCTTTGCTTTAAAATTTGTTGCTAAAACTTTTCTGTCCTTTTTCTCAAATTTTTTTATATGTCATATAGAGTACGCTAAGGCAGACATTTTTCTGAGTTACCTATGTTGTTTTCATCTTGATTTCCCCAAATAATTCTAAAATTATATTTTTAAAAACTTCATCTCTTTATTTAGTTTTATGTGTTTGCTAATTTACTTATTTAATATTATTCATAGTATTTTTCTGTACACTCGATGATAACAATTTAAAACTTCTGCCACCTGGGACTACTGTATTTTATGACTTCATTACATACTAGAGTCTTCAAAATATAATATGATCTAATTATGGGAGAACAATGCCCTCATACTCTTATCTCCATGGTGTTTGTGTGTATTAGATAATGATATACCTGAATTTTAAACTCAAGTATTCTGATTATCTAAACATACAGCAAAGAATATCTCACTGATACAGTAACATTGCAGAAACAAAATAAAAACACTATTTTTTTAAATTCTGAATTTCATCTGAAATTTCTTTACTCAATTTCTTTGAGTTTTAACATAGTTATCTTCATTTATATCACTATTTTCCGTGCAATAAAAGTATACACAAAGATAGAAACCACGTTTGGTAAAGAATTTTCCCCTTGGATGCTGTTTTCCATGCTCTGATGCTTTCTTAAATTACCTACACTAACAAAAATGGTAGTGCCCCCTCTAAGTATAGAGTTTTCTATACTCTAGATCGATGCTATTTAATAGAACTTTTGGTGATGATGGGCATATTCTATGTTTGTGCTATACAACACAGTACAACACAATGGCCATGTGGCTTTTGAGTACTTTAAATGTGGCTAGTGAAACAAACAAATGAAACTTAAATATTTTCAGTTTAGTTCATTTCAATTTGAATTTTCAATAGTCATACGTGGCTAATTGATATTGTACTGGATAGTGCCGGTCTAGCTGTCAGTCTTTATATAGTAAATGTACATTCCTATTCCTCCACAATATCCACTATTTATTTTACAGATATTGAAGCTTCTTTTTGCCTACAATGGAGACGTGGGGCTGATTTCGATAAATGGGAACACACCACTTCATTATGCTGCCATGGGTGGTTTTGCAGACTGCTGTAAATATATAGCTCAGCGAGGTAAAATTGTCTAGCAATTTTGTGCTTCAAGTACTTATGATTTACCCATGTCATAGATAAGCAGAGAATTTGGGCCTATCACTTGTCAGTGGCTTATTTTTTTCTATAGCAAAACCTCACTCATATGTAGAAAGAAAATTGAAAATTATTTCTTATACTACCCTCTGTTAAATCATGAATCTGCGCTTAAAAGTGATGAAAACCCATTTGTCCAAAAATTTTAGGTTATTGTTAAAAACCTAAAGGGGATTGTTCCTGAGCCAACTAATTATTCAAATACTTATGGTTGAGGGCGGGGTGTGGTGGCTCATGCCTGTAATCCCAGCACTTTGGGAGGCTGAAGCAGGTGGATCACTTGAGGTCAGGAGGTCAACACCAGCCTGGCCAACAAGGCAAAACCGCGCCTCTACTAACAATGCAAAAAAAAATTAGCCAGGGGTGGTGACGGCGCCTGTAATCCCAGTTACTTGGGAGGCTAAGGCACAAGAATCACTTGAACCTGGGAGGCAAAGGTTGCAGTGATCCAAGATCTGTGTCTCAAAAAACAAACAAACAACAACAAAAAACTTACAGTTGATTAAGTTCCTTATTTTAAAAATGCCAACATCAATCTAAAAAAGGACACACACTGGAAACCATTTGCTTTCATTTGAATTTTTAGTTTATTTTAAAAAATGTTCCATTGTGTCAAATGCAAAGATAACTTTTCTGGATAATTTGCAGTTATGGGGAAAATAATTTGGGGGAAAACATGAAATGAAAATTTTCATGGAAAATTTGAAATGTAAGCAGAATTTTTAATTTTAGATTTTCCTGTAGCTTTTAAGTATTAATTTAGAAATATGAACTATATCATATATAGCTTAATGAGTTTCTTAAAATGAAAATATTAATTATATTTAAGGATATGTATTTTTTGTTAATTACATGCTAATTAAATGCACATTAAAAGCTTTTTAACTCTGTTAGAGATAGAACTGCATTTTGCAGAACTGTATATATTTTTTCTAGTTTATGAGAAATAGGCAAAAACTTAAAGTTCACCAACTCTATAATAGAGCAAAGAAAGTGTTTTATTTTTCTGTCTTTCACACAGACACAAAATTTTAGAAGTCACTAAAATTATAAATAAAACTAACATGCCCGCATAACTATAATAGCATAATAACATCCATTTTTACTTGTATGAATGTATACTTTCCCTATGTCCCCAGTGTGATAAACCCTTTTAGCAAATGAGAAAAAAATATATCAAATGCAATTCTGGTTCTCTCAAACTGTCTTAATTGGTTTTGTTTTCAAATCTGTCTCTATTAGCAGTTTATTCTGACATTTCAGATTTAACATTATGTATTTCTAAAAACTAAAGATCCACTCAAGTTGAGACGAATTTCTTTAACTTTAATATGTTGACTTATTTCTTATTGGGACAAATATCACACATACGCTATCATTTATGTATTCCTGGAATAAAGTCACAGAAAGCACATTGAGAAGCCAAGGACCAGAGCCTGGGTCATGCAAAAAGGCCTAACTCAGTGATGCAGAAAAGATCCATTTTCCTAGAAGAATCAATCATGAGACTATTTTAAAGCAAATGTTTGAAAATGTTCTGAGTTCTGTGCATGTTCGGAAATATAAACACGTCACCAGATCCTATGTGGGTGACCCAGTTTCACAGCAGAAGTGTTGTCAGTTACATTTCTACCTTTAGAATCTTACATCTAAGGCAATCAGAGCAGGAAGAAACCCTTAGTGATCAAATGCTTGTTTCTGAATAAGCTCCCTGGGCTTAGTCTCTTCTGTACTTAATTGTAAAGCATTTGTGCTGGCTGGATTCATTTCTCACATTTCCTCATGATGGTCCTCTTTCGCCCCCTCGTCCCCCTGCTGGAGCAATTGGCAACTCCCTGTAAGCATGTGAGAGCCACATCCAAGGGCAGAGGAGAGGAGCTCGTGGAGTCCTCCTCCTCCTCTTCCTGGGCCCTCAACTCCCTGAGTTCTGCAGCACCAGCCAGCTGGAAGTTGAACAACTTTACCACAGAGGAGCATAAGTCTCACAAGGAATGAATAGATCTTTATTTACTAATCATAAAGGAGGAGACAGAAAGCTCCAAGTCAAAACGACAGGAAAACTGCCTTTAGCTCTTTAAAGTGGGATGTTGGAGTCTTTTATACACATGGAAGTTTCTAACTAGGATTAAGCTGGAAGCTGCAGAGGGTAAGCTAAAACAGGATGAAAATCCTTTGGTCCTTAGTGCTGGGTGAACATAGAAGAAGAGGCTTGAGAGGTGGGATCAAAACCCCCCAGACACCCTGAGTAAGCAAAATAAATAGCTAAGTAAAAACAGCATATCAGAATTAGTATGGAATTGCACTATGGAATTACTACGCTATGGAATTACACTATAGAGTCACTGTTCTTAAAACTATCCAATATAGAAATTTTATAACCTTTATTGTCCCCATAGTCTTTTTTAGTTTTTCTACTACTAGTAAAATTATCAGCCTTAGTATAAAAATGTGTGTGTGTGTGTGTGTGTTTGTGTAGTAAAATAGATTTATTTTTCTTTTTTTACTTTTTATTTTTTTGATAGTAAGTATATATATTTGTGGAGTATGTTAAATGTTTTGATATAGGAATACCATGCTTAATAATCACATCCTCTAGAATGGGGTATCCATCCCCTCAAGCATTTATTCTTTGTGTTACAAATAATCCAATTACGCTCTTTTAGCTATTTAAAAACATACAATTGTTATTGATTGTAGTCACCCTGTTGTGCTATCAAATAGTAGGTGTTATTCATTCTTTCTATTTTTTTACCCATCGTATACAATTTTAATTTTTGGCAATACTAAGGAAAGTATTAATCTTGAAAAACATGGTCTGACTGCTTCTTCAAAGTCTTACTTATACATATACTTATTATAGACAACACAGCCTTTTTGGTAGCACTAAATGGATTCCCTAACATGTTCAAAAAAGTTTATTTCTTTGGTGAATATTTATAAATGATGTTGGAATCATCATTTTGTTAAATAAGGGACCAAAAAGGAAAATGAATTTTAATGTCTAACTTGCACATAAATATAATGCTGAACTCCTCAGATTTAATTACAATTACTTTTTCCTCTGTGAAGGTTGTTCATATGGCCATACCACAAAACAGCAGATTAGTATAAATTACATTATTTAATGAAGAATACGGAAAAAATATACTTAAAATTATACACAGATTTACAGTTTAAATCATTCAAAAGGAAGTGGGTATTCTGCATCTTTTCAGGTTCAGATCTGAGTTCATAAGGTCCTAGGTAAGCTGTTTGAATCCAGCTTCTTTCCAAATTTAAATGTATCCTTGCTCTTTTCCTGTTGGCCTGAAGTCCCCTGAGCAAGTGTACCAATATGGTGTGTGTTTCAAATATCTCTAGGGATAAATGTTCTAATCCTATTGTAAATTGTAAACGTATCTTCTTCAGAATTCACCAAAGTGATGCTCACAGAAAAAAAAAATCACAGCTCAATTTTGTAATTATAACAGCAAAATGTGCACATCTCTATATACATATAATTTGGGGACACATTTTTTACTAATCACGAGAAATTAAGAAAACAGTTGGATGAGTGTCACTTATAGCCATGCAAATGCCTTGGCACCATTCATAATTAATGATGCTTTATGTTTTAGGATGTGACCTGAAATGGAAGAATTTAGATCATAAAACGCCCAGGGCTGTGGCTAAGGAAGGCGGCTTCAAAGCAGCAAGCAAAGAAATACGCCGAGCAGAGAGAATCGCTAATAAACTAGCCAGGCCAGGAGCCAAAAATCCAAATCCACTGTGGGCCCTTAGACTGCACGATTGGTCCGTAGAACGTGAGGCTTTCCTCCGGGAAGCCTTTGCGGTTTTAGACAGGGGTGATGGAAGCATCAGCAAGAACGACTTCGTGATGGTGTTGGAGGAAAGGCAGGATTATGCAAGCTCAGAACAGCTGGCTGCCATCGCTCACCTTCATGAGAAAACCCGGGGAGGAGGGGTCAATATTAATGAATTCTTTAAAGGAACCAGATATTTAAACAAGTCTTTTGTCTTAGGATCGTATGGACCTAAGAAAAAGGAAAAAGGGATGGGCAAAAAAGGAAAGAAAGGGAAATTTGTCTTACCCCTTCCAATCTGTGTCATTCCTGAGTACGCGTTTCCACGCCGGCAGGATGGTGGGCCACCGTATTACATGATTGAGACCTACAAGAATGTCACTGATAGCAGCCGGTTTAATAGAGATCATCCCCCAGAACATCCCATTCAGGATGACTCTGTTTGGTACATTGATGATTCAGAGAAGGTATTTTCAAACATTAATATTATCACCAAAGCAGGGGATCTGGCTTCTCTGAAAAAGGCCTTTGAATCAGGAATACCTGTGGATATGAAGGATAATTATTACAAAACTCCGCTAATGACGGCGTGTGCAAGTGGAAACATAGATGTGGTCAAGTTTCTTCTTGAAAAAGGGTACGCGTCTCCGTCGGGTGTGGCCTAAATTTTCACGAGTCTTCACATTTCAAGGAAGTGAAAAGATGACCGAATTTTAGTAATATAGAAAAGTGCTACTTTATTAAAGTCTATAATAAGGCTTTAATATATAAAAGCCTTTTATTAACAATTAACTTATAGGCTTCATTAAAGAATGTTATTAAAGAATGCTTTATTAAAAATGCTGATTTATTACAGGCTTTATTAAAGTCTAACAAATGCCCTATAAAAGTATGTGTTCATATTACTGATGGCTAGGGTTAGAAAAGGAGAATTTATGTTAGATTTATGTTATGTTAGATTCCTAGCCCCTTTATTAAAGCCTATAATAAATTAATTAAGCCTATAGATCTTATATGGGAAACCAGGATAATGGGAGCATAGGATTGTGTGTGCACAAATATATTTTGCCAATAGCAATTATGCATGAAGTGAAGGCCAGTAAGTGTTTACTCAGGGTGAATAGAGTCTTCTGATTATTACTGGCCTTCTATCAGTGGCAGCACGGCTCAGTCCTGTCTCAGAGCTTCACCTAGATGGTGTGGAGTCACTTTTTAATCTGCCTCTATTTGAGGATCTCAACAACTTCAAACAAGTGGAATGGTGGCTATAATAACATGCTTTGGTCCCAAAACCTGCTGCCCTCCTCCAGTGTGGGGCATCCTTTTCCTTGGTCATGTAAATATTTTTAAAATATCAAATCATGAGAGTTTTATAATACTTAACTTTTTAGACTACAACAATCACTCAGGTTTAATTCCTTCTTCTACCATAGTTGTATAACCTGGGTGAGTTTCTTAATATTTTTGTGCCTCAGTTCTGTCATGTATGTAATGAGACTGTAGTGGGACTCATGCCACAAGATTAGTTGAAGATTAGATGAGTTAAAATATGTAAAGCTCTTGTTAACACAGTAGTTACATACTTGAGAAATAAAGTACTAATCTTATTAGTACTTTAATGTTAAAGAAAGACTCAAATTTGTATATTATCAAGAGAGCAACTAATGAGAATATGAACTTCTGGACAGTGAATTTCTAAAAAGGACTAAAATGTTAAATAATACATGGTAATATTTATAATTTATTAATGAAGTTTCATTTAAAAATGTATTACATGCAGAGAAAGTCACAAAATGAAATATGTCCTGTCAGCTTTTATCTTCATTGGATCTGATTTTATAATTTTCCTTGATTTTAACCTTTGCAAATCGTAATCCCTAGAATCTAAAGTGCCTTTTAATGTAGATATACACAAAGAAAGTTAAGACTGTCAAATAATGCAGAACAAAGAGGTTTGAAGAAAAATTATGGCACAAAGTTTACAATTTAGCAACTTGATAGAACTCTATGAAATCTTACTTTGCATTTTTAGTGTCCAGTCATTGGAAAACCGTATTTTTAGTTTGTTCATCTATCTTATTTTACAGAGCTAACGTTAATGCAACAGATAACTTTCTGTGGACTCCACTTCATTTTGCATGCCATGCAGGCCAACAAGACATTGTTGAGCTTCTTGTTGAATCTGGAGCTTTAATAGATGCAGCTTCAATCAACAACTCAACTCCTTTAAATAGAGCCATTGAAAGCTGCAGACTGGATACAGTAAAATACCTACTTGATATTGGTGCTAAATTCCAGCTGGAAAATAGAAAAGGTATGCGTTCATATTATTGATGATTAGGGTTAGAAAAGGAGAACTTATGTTAGATTCTAAGCCCCTTCTGATTCTATTCTCGTAGGCTTGCATTGTCCACTGGGTTCCTGGTACAAACACAAGCCTGAGTTAAATGTTATGGAAGTTTATCTTATACCAAGTGCTTCTCCACTCATTGGTGTTGGAGGGCCAATTCTTTATGTTTATAATCTTTCATGGACTGAAATACTTTTGTAAAATATAATAAAATTATTTATTAGAAAAATAAAATGAAAAAAATACAAGGCCAAAACTTTGTTTTTAATCTTTAAATTTTAATGACAGAAAATTATATTAAGTTGCTAAAAACATTTATAAATACTTAGTTTCTGTAGTTACTTCATTATGGATCAGTAACTATTAGTCTGTGGACTTGCACCAGTTTGCAGATGACACTGAGTTATTACACTGTTATGACTGTTAATTACTAATAATTGCATACCCTATAGACTTTGGGTTTCTCTTAAAGCTGGACAAAGCAATTCCTGAATTGAGGCTTCCCTGACTCTAGGAAGTAAACACACAACCTACCTTGTATCATAAATACCATACAGGAAAAATTAAAAAATCATTTGAATATATTTGAGCTCCTTGTTTGGAAGTACCATTTTCCTACATTGGAAGCCATTGCTTCCTTTGACTGAGGAGCATCATACCTCTGGTTGGTTCAGGCTGCCTCTGAGTCACAGATACTACTGCACCTGTCCTGCCTGATGATATTATAGGTAACATATTGCCCAGCCATCTGCCTGGAGCACCTGTGGCCACTAGCTTCCCCAGACCTTTTGGAATTTACCTCCTTACATCAAGGAAAGGGGAAGATAATGTAAAATTATCTATCACATAGAAGGAAATTTGCACAATGTGGGGAGAGAATAATCAATTTGATATTTAAGATGTAATATAATATTTCCTATCACTCTTTTAAGAAACATAGTAAAAAAAAAACTAAGGAAAAGTAATTTTCTGTATTTAGATGGCACTATAAATCATGGGATCTTAAAGCTGGGACCGCCATAGAGAAAATCTGATCTAGCTCTGTGAACTTCTGTATATATACCCCTTGCTTTAGGAATCACCCTTATTAGGGCAGGCTTAGAGCTGATGTGCTGAGATATTTTTCTACATGGTTTATCATTAATATGTTTATAGTCACTCTGAATTTATGTTTATGTTTCAACAGGGCATAGTGCCATGGACGTTGCAAAGGCATATGCTGATTATAGAATAATTGATCTGATTAAAGAAAAGCTAGATAACTTGCCGAAACCAGCAGAAAATCAAAAACTAAAAGGCAAGACACCTCCTATACTGAAGACTGAAGGCCCTGAAATTAAGAAAGAAGAGGTAAGAAAAATGGTTGACTACCCATTAGTAACTGGAACTCTTTAAAAATCTGTTTGGGGGAAGGCAGAAGCACTATTTACATATTGTTATACAACATGGGTAAGATAATATGCAGTGCATACTTTCAATAGCATTATTATATAGTACTTTTAAAGAAATATCTAATAAAATTCTTATCACTGAAGAGCCTAAAAAGTACTCACTGCAAAGAGAATCCATACAAAAACCAAATGGGTTCAGCCAAATACAATTAGAATGTTGAAAAAGAAAACCAAAACTGGTGTTGGATTTGTATATATTTGGTCCTGAATTATACAGATTTGATGAGATGGTCCAAATAGGGAAGGAGATTAACCCTTATGAGGAGTGAAGTAAAGCATGATTTTTCTTCATTTTGGTCTCATTACCACCATATCCCCTTTCATTGCCCACCACTTCCCCTTCCTCCCACCTGCCGCCTCCACCAAGGAATTTTAATGAATACCACTGAATTCTGGGATACGGAGCCATTGTCTCTAGAATATCCTGCAAAATGGTTGTAGGTTTTCAACGTTTCTGGTAATCCGGAGTGATTTGGAACTTCTAAACTGCAGTGGAAGGTTGAAGTTGTTGCCCATGGGAGTTACTGAGACATCAAGACTTTATCATTAGCAGGAAACCCCTAAGTGTGTCTCTAGATTGGAAGCTTTTCTTAAGGGAGCAGAATATCTACTGGAGACTCTTGGCTGACACAGGACAAGAGATGAAAGTCAAGAAGGAAAAGTTTTAGTGTCATCAAATTGGAAAGCATTGGGGAAATGTAGGTGGTAGGGAGTAGATAGGATGAAGGGATTGTAGACAGACAGCAGACTTATAAACATGGAGGATGTTAGAATGGCAAAAGGTGAAGGAGGATCAGTCAACTAAAGTTCTTCCATTGTCATTTTAGTAGGCCACAGATCAAGGATGGGTATCTCAAAGACTTACGTGATCTTCTACCAATACTTCTAATTAAAGTTAAACAAGGCAAACTATCTCTCCCCATCCCCAAAGTTATAATAATATACTATTTTATCTCAAATTATAACTTGTACAGTAGCATTTTTAGGTTTCTTTCTGGCTTCAGAGTAAGATGTGAAACAGCAAATAATATTAGAAAATCAGTATAGATTTTTACAATTTATAATTTTTTTGTTCTTGTTTCCAGGAACTGCTGTCATCAATTTATGGTGTACCAACCACATCAGAGGGAAAGAAAGTACAGAAGGGTAATGTGGTTCATCTGAATTCATTGATTACCAGTGGTTATACTAAGAAAGTGGATATCACATTTATTCCACGGAGGGTAAGTGCTTCGAAAAGATCTTCATAGCATGGTAGAAGCTCATAATGTCATTTTTTCAAAAGCTTTTTATGTAGAATATCCAAACAAATCTGCACAGTTTGTCTTTCATAGTTACTACTTGTGAATGTTCTTTTGCCAGGTTCTGGTACTTTCAACTCAGTATGCCCAAGTGATAGCTCCCGGCATCTAGTTCTCTTTCTATTACTATTTCTGTATTGAGATTTACATTTTCCTAGAAAGGTTGAAGTCTTTCTGAATCAATGGCATGATCTGCAGCTGTTTAATCACTAACTCCTAAGGATACTTTTTTTTGGTACTTCTCAGACCCAACCCTTCTTTGTACTTAACTACTACCAGCTCATGCAGGAGTTTCATATAAATCAAGACTGGATTTATTCAGTAGCTTCCGAAAACCTCCACAACTAAAGAGGTGGAGACATCTTTTGGAGAAAAGAGTTGTCTTTCCATTGGCCATCCAACCAGGCTGAACAAGCAGCTCCCCTCGCCTTCTATTATAAAAATAATTTTGACTTCTACATAAGACATATAGGTAGTAAACCTAGATGATCTTCTAATTCCTTTGCTTCCCTGTTTTGGCATCCTAAAAAACGCACAGCAGCTGGTCTGAGCATAACTGGCCAGAGAAGTAACTGAATAATATTTCCGACATTATTTGTCTAGACAGTCATCATCAAAAACAGTGATGCTCGTGCAACCACTAGTGTCATATGAGAGGGGGGGAAGAAGTTAAAACACATCTAAAAGTAAATTTAATAGTTTTAAGTTAAAACTATAAACAAATTTTTAAGTTAAAACTGTGTATTGAAAATTGTCTGGATATTAGCATATTTACTGGCTGTCATACTCATACCTGCTGGGGTATGGCTATTTTTCTTTTTAAGATTTGGAGTCCTGAAGCCACAACAGCAGAGCTGATCAGGAAGAGGGAACTACGGCGAGAGAGGTTTACACATGAGGTGGACTTCGACGATTTTATGATGCCTTTTCAGAAGAACATCACAGAGAAAGCTCGAGCACTGGAAGCTGCCTTGAAGACCTAAGTCATAGCAGTTATTTCTTGGGGTAAATGCTTTGAGGCCCAGGGACCAATCTTTGGAGAAAGTAGATATTTCCATCAAAGCCAAAGCAATCCATACACCAAGAACTTGTTACCAAGAATTTCTTTTTGCTTTAACAACTATAAATATTCTTAGCTGTCTAGAGAAAAGATGTATGTTATTTTGAAATGAATGGTATGTCATTCTGGATAAATCCCCAAGCCCCTTTATGAATGTAGTGAAATACATGGCATGTGGGTTATAAACGTTGCTGTCAAAAGATTTACCAGGTCTACACCATTATGCTTATTATTTTTTTAATTATCCTTTTTATTTATTAAATAGAGACAGAGTCTCACTATATTGCCCCAGCTGGTCTCGAACTCTTGAGCTCAGGCAGTCCTCCCAACTTGGCCGTCGAAAGTGCTGGGATTATAGGCATGAGCTACTGTGCCCAGCCTGCTTATTGAAGATACATTTCTAGTGGAAATTGATGAAACAATTTAGGTTTTGGAAAAAGAAGTAATATTTAATCTTTTAAGGAAGGAGTTTATTTCTCACATGCCATTATAAACTATGTGTATTAGATACCTTGGGTTGAATACACTTTTAACAGCCCTAGATCGATAGCCCTAGCCCTAGATAGATAGCCCTAGCCCTAGATAGATAGCTATTAGGTTGGTGCAAAAGTAATTGTGGTTTTTGCCATAACCTTTAATTGCAGCAAAAACCGCAATTACTTTTGCTCCAACCTGACAGCTAGGTATCTAGCTAGCTAGAAAGGCAGATAGACAGATATATAGATGATAGATAGATAGATGATAGATAGATAGATAGATGATAGATAGATAGATAGATAGATAGATAGATAGATAGATAGAGATTTATTGCAAATAATTGGTTTACATAATTTTGGGCCCCAGATGGTTAAGTGCTAAATTTGTAGGGTAGGCTATCAGGAAGTGCAGGCTGGAAACATGCAGGAGCTGTCCCTGAAGTCCACAAGTGGAATTTCTTCTTCATCATGGAAACCTCAGTTTTGTTCATACACCTAAATACTTCAGTATGTCTTTCCTAAAATAAAAGGCATCCATTTACCTAACCAGATTACGATTGTGAAAATTTCAACTGTTGTTAAAGCGACTGATGGGATCAGTTTCACCTAGATTATCTAAAGCAGTCTCCTTTACATAAAGTCAATGAATTGTAAATATTGGTTGCATGTACACAATTCCTTCACCACAACACCTAAGATTAGTATTTGATTGAGTTACTGGGTGCTACAACCTAGCCAAGTTGAGTCATAAAACTGACCATCTCTGGAGGTGTACTCTGCAGTAAAAAGCTAGCTGAGGCATTATTCACACCAAGAAATGCAGTGGGTACCGAACAGGAGCTCCAAAAATATCCAACGTCTCATTGACAGAAAGAAGCCACTTTAGAATCTGCCTTACCAGAAGGCACCAATTGCAGATTACAGCTCTGTCAGTCACGTATGGATTAAACCCCTTTCCTCTAACCTCCTCCCTCTCTTTCCAACCTTGGAGGGACCTTCCACAGGAGCCAGTTAGGGAGGAGAAGGGAAGAGAGAGAATGAAGCAGGTAACCAGGCCCACCCCTCTGGAGGAGACAGACCTGAACAGGGGTTGCTTACAAGCATTGCATTTGGATCCCAAGATTTGCTATTACAACTAAATTTTGTCTGTTTTGTAAGGTTTTGGTTGGTTTTTTTGTTCTCTCTTTTCTTTTTGTTTTGACATAATTTCATATTTATGGAAAAGTTGCAATAATTTGACAAAGAATTCTTATATGCCCTTTACCCAGATTACCTAAATGTTAACCACTTACCACATTTGCTCTATCTCTTTCTCCCTCTACATATATGCATATGTATGTTTAATTTTTGTCCCCGAACTATCTGTGTGTCCGTTGAAGACATGATGAAGACATGATGTTCTTCACATGATGTTTTCATATTTGTGTGTCAGTTGAAGACATGATGTTTTAAATATTTCATTGTGTATTTCCTAAAATCACGATGTTCTTTTGCATAACAATATTACCATTGGCAAACTAAGGAAATTAACACTTAAGTGAACTATTTAATCTATAGACCTTATTCAGATTTTGCTATTTATCCCAATAATTTCCTTTGTACTCCCAGGTCATGAAATACATTCGCTTGCCCCATCTCTTTAGTCTCTTTTAGTTTAGAACAACCTGTATTTCTTGTTTGTTTGTTTGTTTGTTTGTTTATGACAGTATATAAGAAGAACACAAGCCACTTTTATCTTGTAAAATGTCTCTCAACTTTGGTTTGTCTTAAATGTCTTCAAGAATAGATTCAGGTGATGCTTTTGGGGCAGCAGTGCTACAGATGTCATTGCACCCTTCTCAGTACATCATATCAGGAGGCACATGATGTTGATACCTGATATAAACTTTAACTGCATTTGCAGTTGAGAGAAATGTAAATAAAAGTAAAGCTGCAGTAATAAATCATAACTGCATAAAATTAACTGTAGTACATACTGTACAACTGTAATAATTTCATAGCCACCTCCTGTTGCTATTGTGTTGAGTTCAATTGTTGTCTTTTCTCAAGCTTACTTTATTGCACAAATACAGTATTTATAACATACAAAATACGTGTTAATTGATTATGCTATGGGTAAGGCTTTTGGTCAACAGTAAGTTATTAGTATCTAAGTTTTTTGGGAGGCAAAACTTATACATGGATTTTTTTATTGTAAGGAGAGTTGGTGCCGGTAACTCTCTAGTAGTTTTCCTTGTACTTAATGAATATCTGATAGATAGATACTTTGAAACTATGGAAATTTCCTTCTACTTTCATACTTTCACCTACTAATTTTAGCATCCATGGATGATTCTCGCCTAAAATAATTATTACAGTGACAGTTGCCATAAAATAATTTCTACATTTTATCATTCTTTCCATTTCTTACTTGGCCTTCTGCTGTTGGGCAGAGCTTTCTTTTCTTCCTTATTAATTTATGTACTCAAATCAGTACAGACTCATGCATTCCCTTTTTATTTAATGCGAATTATATATGTGTGGGGACCAACTCAGAACTCCAGAGTTGGTATAAAGATTATTTTAAGCCAAAGACATTTGAGATTTAACATACCATATGCAGGGGAAAAAAAAGTCTTCTCAGACCTTTGCTTATCTGACTACAAGCAGTAACTTCTAGGAAATAAGGCTGCCATAAATTCCTCTTCAGGTTTGATCTACTTCTAGAACACAAGTAATCCTACCCCAAATCCCTTCTCCAGAAGTGTTGTATGGCCCCGAAGGAAATTTAAGGACCATTTATACCTGTATAGATAAACATTATCACGTACTTTTTTATCTCCTGTTTGTTCACCTGAAAACTCATGTATCTTTGTAAAAAGTCATTGTGTTTACATAAATGTCTTCTCCCCCTCCCCTTTGCTTATCAAGATGATTATAAGCCACCGATTTTAACTATCCCTTTCAGTTACTCATCACTGAGTTCTCCCAAGTGTATATGCCTTGCATGCATAAACTTGTTTTCTCCTGTTAAAATGCCTTTTGTCAGTTTAATTCACAGGCTCCAGGCATTGAACCTAAGAGGGTAGAGGAAAAGTTAATCCTCCCCTATGTGATCCTTTACTCTCATTATTAATTTTGATGCTCAAATTGTCCCTGATTTAACTAGGGGAAAACCCTTCAAGTTGGCTCCTGATAAAAAGACATTTTGTTTTCTAAAACAATCAGAGGACTCTTTATTTCTTGAATGTGAGGGAAAATGCCTACCTTTGGCTTCGTTCAGGAACAAGGAAAATGAATCTGCAACAGCAGATTTTCAGAGGTGATCACTTTCTGTTTTCACTCTAGTGAGTACATTTTTTAAATGTCAGTTTGATAGATAGTGGTGTCCTGGGATCACCTTCAGCCACTTGCAAATATAAACTGAGAGTAAGCATTAATGTTAGGTCCTATTAACTCTCTTTCCCCACATACGGAGTGTTTGTATTCATTTTAATGGCTCAACATGTTTAAAGGGGAATTGTGTGAGGGGAACAGTCACACAATTGACTGAGTTTATTTGGAGTTTAATGCTAAACCCAAACATAGCATAGCCACAGTTCTAACAATGGCCCATAAGAACATCAGTGCTATTCAAAGAGTGATCCACAGGCCAGCAGCATCACAGGGAGCTTGCTCCCACTACCTGCCGCCCAAAATTATGGTACTGAAGTCTATATGAGCGTAACGAAAATTTTGTAGAGGAAATCTTACTGGCATAAAAAGACTGTCAATGTTGCATGTAAAGTACCTACATTATAAGTAGTATAATATCAGACTTGCAAATGCACAACATGTACATAAATAGTAATTTTTCTGGGTCTTTATGAGTTATCTGACCTTTATTGTTTTATTTTGGCTTACCTGTATTTTCTGTTTTTCTTTTTCTTTTCTTTTTTTTACAATGTACACGTATTACTTTGGAATTAACAATTTTTTTTTAAAAAAGAAAAAACACAAGTTAACACCAAAGTCCATAATACCAAAGTGAGTTTATTAGTATTTGCCTCTTTTATGCCTTTTTGTGCATTGCATTAAGATTCTCTCAGAAGAACGGAGCCAAGAGTTCAGGAGCAAATGATGTGTGAAGGAAGTGCTCCCAGGGGAGAGCAGTATGGGGTGAGGGGTATGAAACAGGACACGGAAATGAAAGGAGCCAAACAAGGGTGCGCTTTCAGATGAAACCACAGCTTCTGAGTAGCCCGTGGGGAGCTGTAGCGCACAGGCAAGGAGCTGGGCTTCTGGGTTCCTGTATCAGTGAGCAGCTGCAGGATTGAGGGTGTACTGGCGAGGCTGTTCCAGTGCTCGAGGGCAAGTCTGCAAAGGTCATGGTGGGAACTATTGGCTAGAAAGCATGCAGAAGCTGTAACTGCGTGCATAGCACAGGAAAGGGAACACATGCACTTATCTTTAAATTTACACTTCGGTGAACTGGGTAAGACTGTGGGTTTTATATTAGCAGACCTGGATTTGAATCTGCATATTGTTAGTCATCTGCATTTACTGCCTGCTTGCCTATGGATCAAGTTATGAAGGGTCATGACTCCGAATTTCATCATTTATAAAGTAGGGATAATAATACGTCCCTCAATGAACTCTTATGAGACTCTAGTGGAATAATGTCTTTAAGGATGCTCAGTCTGTGCCCATGCCTGGTTGGTGGTCAACATATGGTTTGTTTTTAACCATCTTATAGTCTCTATCTGAAAAGTGAACCAAAAGAAGGCACAGGAAGGAATAAGGACCCAGACCTGAACAGTCAGAACAGAAAAGGCTTCCTGGAGCAGATTCACTTTCAGACCATCGAAGTCATTTAAACATATGTGTGTGTGTGTGTGTGTGTGTGTGCATGTGTGTGTGCGTGTATATATATATATTTTTTTTTGAGACAGGGTCTCATGGAGCGCAGTAGCATGATCTCAGTTCATTGCAACCTCCACCTCCTGGGTTCAAGAGATTCTCCTGCCTCAGCCTACCGATTTTTTGTATTTTTAGTAGAGATGGGGTTTCACCATGTTGGCCAGGCTGGTCTCGAACTCCTGACCTCAAGTGATCCTCCTGTTTCTGCCTCCCAAAATACTGGGATTACAGGTGTGAGCCATCGCACCTGGCCCTAAACATGTAGATATTTTATCTACATATTTATCTACTTTATCCAGTTTCTGATAATCAGAGAAAAATGAAAAATCCCTATTTGCCATGAGATATACTTACTAATTTCAGTATAGTTCCTGTGGATAGTGGCCCAAAGGTTATCTAGGTAATTACTAGTTAGGTAGTTAAAATAATGTCTTAGATCAAGCTTCCTAGAAATAGAAGCTGAGATGGGGACTCTAGTGCAAGTGACTTATTAAGAAGGAACATGTCAGGGAATGAGAGAAGCAGAATAAAGCAGGGAAAGATCTGAGGGAAGGTTGTGATCTCAGGAGGGCATTAGCACCAGCCTAATTTCCTGGAGAGCTTTGGAGGATGAATGGAACCACAGAGGTTTGTCCTGCCCAGAGGGAAGAAGCCTGCCTGTTACATCCTGCATCAATCAGTCATTAACCAGCCCCTTGTCAGGAGAGAAACCTTTCAAGTGTCACCTGGCTGATTCGCAAGGTGGCTCTGATCAGCCAAAGGCAATCCCCAGAGAAGTGGGTAGCACTTAGCCTCCAACCACAGCAGCTGAGCACTGGGTGGGCCAGCTGGTTAAGGGGATCTGGGCAGCGTACCAACAGCATCTGCTACAAATGGCATGCTCTTGTGTGCAAAGTTCAGGTGCAAAATTTCAGATGGTGACTCCTTGAGATCACTTTGCATGACACACTTTGTTTTTAAAAAGAATATTAACTTCAACAAACTTCTGAACTTGCCTCATTGTTAAGAATAAAGATGAATGAGCAAGAACAGCATTGATAACTGATTTGGCAGCTAGTTGAAAGGGGAATCACAACTTGAGTGTTACCAACTTTAGTGTTATCAATGGTTAAAAATGATAAACATGAGAGACAGAAAGATGTACTCAGCCTTATGCTCAGGATAAGGTAATGTCTAATTGGTACAAATCAATCATCCCCAGTGAAGTTAGTTTAGCAACTTTTATTAAAGTCACAATGTAGCCGTGAAAAGTGCCCAAAAGAACTACTGAGCCTGTACTTTTTTTCAAAACGGGTGGTGTAAAAAGAGAGAAATGGGAAAATTCAAATGCCTTCTCCACACTGGCATAAATTTGAAGTAAACAGTCATCTGAACTATGGTATTATTAACTATTTACACAGTATGTATATTTCATTATATGGATTTGTATTTCTGTAACAATGCATCCTAGGGGAAGTTTACAAATGAAGGTAGATGGGGTGTTTGTGTATATCAAATAACCATGTGCTAATATTCATAGATCCTTAGGTAATTATTACTACATCATGAATTTTATCTGAGTAATAAGGAAGAACTGAATATTCTGTTGAGATTCTGGAACTTACTGGAGATTTCTTTTATCCTAGATAAATAATTGAGTATTGTGTGATGTATGATGTGATACGTGTGTGTAGGTATGTGTTTATTCAGGATTAATGATGGTATTTTCCTTTTATCTTCAGTAAATAAGACTTTGAAGAGGAATTAATATGCAAAAAAAGATTTATTTTTCATAGGCTTAATGACTTTTTGTAAGATGGTTTGAAATAGCCATATATTTTTCTAAATGTGGGAGATTGTTATGTTGTTCATTATTGAGACTCGCAGGCTGCAGTTCGATGCTTTCCTCTGAAAAGCATTAGAAGTGAGAAAAATAAGTGAGAGAAATAAGTATTCCCTCATAAAAATTAAATAATGAAATTAACACATAAAGAATTAAATGAGCAATGAGTATTATTGATGTCTGAATATATCTCACACTAAAGCAACACTTCCCAACACTTCCCAAAGCTAACAAGTCAGCCAGAAGGAGAATTGATCAGCAATAGAAAATCATGGAATGAGAGTACCTAGGCAGACCTTGTGTGTTCAGACTCTGCAGACCTCTGGTCCATATAACACATGCGTCTCAGTTAGAGATTGAGACTTTTCATGATGTCCAAGGTTGCTACTGCCAGAATGCTGAATCTATCAGCAGCCCTTGTTCTACATACAATTTGGTTTTATTCATTCAGCATATATTTATTGAGCACCGATAATGAAAATCCTAGGTCTGTTCCTTGCTCTCTTCATGGTGCATGACAGGAGAGCAATTCATCCAGTTTGCATGTCCCAGGTTTCTGCATTATTTGGCTTCCAGTAGGATCCAGACAACAGGAGACAACAAAAGATGAGAGAGGGAGGAGAGGAAAAGCCAGGTAGTTCCCCCTTTCCATCTTTGCCTTTGTCGGCATCCCCGTCAACAGCTGTGTCTGTCTCCCCCATGACTCCACTCCCCACTGTGTGGGGAGCTGTGTATCCTGCTGTGGTCCTAGCCTCCCTCATGTGACCCTGGCCCCTAGGCTCTGGTAGTACTACCCACTCCCTCTGTCCCTTAAGCCTCCAAGGGTGGTACCAGCTTCTTTTGTTGTTAGTCTCAGGGCTGCCTCACTGTGCTCTGGTTGTTTCCTCAGCCTCTTCTATTGCTTGTGCAACCAAATCCTCCCATTAACTTCCATTCTGTAGGAACTCAGAGTTGTTTCTGCTTTCCCATGTGGATCCTGATTAATCACGTATCAAGCACAATGGCATGTCTGGATAAAATGGAATGCAAAACCAGGAATAGCCCCTGCCCTCATGGAGTTTATAGTTTCGTAGGAAAAGCATATTTTCATAGAATAATCCTAAAATACTTATGAGATGATTGCACAAGATTGAATAATTGAAGATTATCAAAAGACTCACAAGATTTCACAGTGTGTATTTGAGTAAGGTTTTAATACAGGTGAAGGATACATTAGGACACAGAGCACAGATGATCACAGAGGGGTCTAGGGCTTCCAGGCACAGCCCCCCAGGGTCCATTTTAATCACTCGGTACAGGACACATTTTATCTTCAGATTATATACGATCACCGTAAGTGTGAGTCCAGGTATATAATTTATTGAGGGGTCTTTCATACCCACCAGCCATGTAGCTAAACCCAGGCTGTATACCCTGTTAGACCAGGTACAAACTATCAGTCTATACAGTCCTAAACAATGTAGACAAGCTAATACAGGCTGCCTCCAGGGGAATTTCGAGCTTTAAATAGCACATTGCACATTATAAAGTCCTCAGTAGCACATTTCATTCTTACCTTGACCAGACTTCAAGCATCCCAGGAGACAAACAGAGGGCTACCCCAGGATAGCTGCAAGGTAACGCTACCTTATACAACATATGAACTTATAGTGGTGCTACAGAATAGGGGAAATTTTCACTAATGAAATGGTATTTTAGCTGAACTCTAAAGAATGAGTGAGGAATTAAGTTGACCCAGAGGGAAGAGAGGAATTGAGTAGAAGCAGCAGCATTTTGCAGTGCAGACCCATTCCAGCAAGTGAAATAAAAGCAATGTGACAAGAAATAAATAAAAAATGGTCAGGGAAAAGAGGCCAAAGCCACATCCTGGAGAGATTTGTAAGACAACCATATGGATTTGGAAAGTGATGGATTTCCATTTGATTCTGCTGATTCGTCCCTTGTCCTAGAAATTTTCTTGACTTTAGCAACACCACAGTTTCCTGGTGCTTCTCAATATCCTTTGTAGCCATGCTTTTTGCATCAGGACTCTCAACACCAGCAGACAATAACAAGAGAATTATTAAGACTTAGAAAAAGAGAATTCTTAATACAGAATTTCAAGGGGTGGATTGAGCAAGACTGGAGGCAAAACATCTTCCCTGAAAACCATTTCTCTCTTCCTTGCTTGCTGACATTCTCACTGTCTGGCTCCCTTGCTCTCTCTACTTGGCTTTAGTCTGTGTGAGCTCCAACCTTAGCTAGAATGTAGCAAAGATGTCCACCAGAAGCTCCAGGGTTACATCCTAGAACTCCAAGTGAAATGAGGTACTCTTTCCCAGCTGGTCCTGTGAAAACCCTGATCGCACTCTCAATGGTCAGGCTTGAGTCAAGGGTCTTTCTCCACACCAGTCATTATACAACAGGACACAAGATTCTGATTGGCCAGATCATTTTGTCAGCCCATGACTCAGGGAATGAGTCACTCTACCCAAAACACCAGACTGCTACTTGTATAGGTGTGGGCTCCCAAGAAAAAGTAGGGATTATTCTTCCCCAAAAAAAGAGTTAGGGATGCTGGAAAGGCAGAAAGAAAAGGGAAGGGAAGAGGAAGGGGAAAAGGAAAGAAAAAAAAGAAAGAAAGAAAGAGAAAGAAAGAGAAAGAGAAAGAAAGAGGAAAGAGAGAAAGAGAAAGAGAAGGAAAGAGAAAGAAAGAGAAGGAAAGAGAGAAAGAGAAAGAGAAAGAGAGAGAAAGAAAGGAAGGAAGGAAGAAAAATGAAGGGAGGAAGGAAAAAGGAGACAGGAAGGAAGAAAGAAAAAGAAGAAAAAAGAGAGGGGAAGAAAAGAAAGGAATAAAGAAAGAAGAGAAAGATGGAGAAGAAAACAAACCAAAAAAGTGGCTACTACAACCTCCGCCTGACCATTAAATGTCGGAATTTCTCAAGACTCAGTTTCAAACCTTCATCTCACACTACGAGCTCTCCCTAGGCAAGCTCATTTGCACTCTCTCCTTGGAATGACTCCCACATTTGTGTCTTAAGCGTAGTTATTTCATCTAAGCCTACAGAAACATATCTAATTATACTTGACATCAGTTCTTGAATTTACAAACGCTCCTGAAACTCAACAATTCCCAAATCAAACTTTAGACCTCTACTGCCCATCCTTAAGTCTAGTTTACTTCGAGTGTTTTCTAGTTCAGTAATGGAACCACCAACATTCTGCTATGAAAGCCAAACTCCCAGATATCATCATGACTTGCTTCCCCAAGCACCCACCCACCCCAATTCAACTCCATTTAATCTCATAAATTCTTGTGACTCTTCCTCCTACTATCTCCACCCTTACCGCCGTAGTCTACCTTATCATCTTACCCAGAAAACTGTAAGAAATATTCTGATCTGTTCTTTTATCTCCTTCTGTCCTGCAGTCTATCTATACAT